>NC_000010.11:5616060-5767575 GCF_000001405.40 Homo sapiens
TTCTTCTGCACCAACTCCAGGACTTCATTTAGCCCCTATCATAAGCACAACTCTGCCCCTGCTTGCTAAGGCCCAGCTCTGACGCACCTTGTGTCAATGGTCAGTGTCTGGCAAAGGGCTTGTGGCAGAGAAGAGGCTCCAACATGTGGGTGGTCGGCTCCCCGAGTGCCGCCGATGCCCTGAGTGCCGTCCACCCCCCGGAGTGCCGCCCGCCTCGCTGAGTGCCGCCCATCCCCCTGAGTGCCACCCACCCCGCCGAGTGCCGCCCACCCAGCCGAGTGCCGTCCACCCCCCCGAGTGCCGCCCACCCCCCGAGTGCCGCCCACCCAGCCGAGTGCCGTCCACCCCCCCGAGTGCCGCCCACCCCCCGAGTGCCGCCCACCCCCCGAGTGCCGCCCACCCCCCCGAGTGCCGCCCACCCCCCGAGTGCCGCCCACCCCCCCGAGTGCCGCCCACCCCCCCGAGTGCCGCCCACCCCCCGAGTGCCGTCCACCCCCCGAGTGCTGTCCACCCACAACACGGTGCTGCCTCTCTTGCCAAGGCAAATTAAGACACCCTTTGGTACAGAATGAAACCGTTCTCTTTGAAGAACTGCATGTTTCCCCCAGTCATTTTTGTCCTGGGGGAGTCAAGTGTTTTTACGGACCCTTGAAGCTTGAGGACACTCTGGCATCACCCATTGTTGGGGTGACTTTCTGGTGATTATCAGTGAGCAAACTTCAAGGCCAGCTCCGATTAGGAAAATCTGCCAAGTGTGAGTTTCCTTGGAGCTAGGACTGGGCAGAGACCCCTGGTCCTTGGTCCGTAGGGAAGCTGGGGGATTTGGGGGGTAAGTAATGAGATCATGTCTGCAGAGGCCCCCAGCCTCTTGGAAGAAGATTCCGCTGTAATTTCTTGGAAAAAGCCAACTCCTTCCAGCCCTTTCTGCTCACACCATCTCAGTTTTCCTGTCTGGCTGCAGCCACCAACAGCAGCCACAGGATCTCGCCAAATTTCCATTTACTTGCTCTCTGGTCTTCTCATGCTGGCGCAGTCCTCCCCTCCGGACCACGAGAGCCAAGTGTAAATTGTGTGGTCCCAGCAATCATTCAATCCTGCAGATAGCTGTGTTAAGGGTGTCTGGGGACCTGGGGAAGGAGTGTGTTTTGTGTTTTGTTTTTATGCATTTCCTCACTCTGTCTGGATATGGGGATCTGGGGAGGGAGAGAGAAGGTAGGCTTTCTTCACAGGGGATGCTTACCTACTGGCGAGCACAGCGATCTGAGCTTTGGGGGCCTCCGTCGGCCCTCAGTGATGTGTGGTTTCCCTCATTGGCCTTCACTGGGGTTCCCCTCAGTGCACTAAGGTGGACATGGGAGAAAAAGCCCCGTGGCCCCCTAAACAAATCGACCCCAGATGCCATGGGACAGGGTTCCAATCCCGCCTCTCGTGTTGGTTTTCTTGGTGATGAACGACAAATCCCTTTTCATTTCTAGTTCTGATCCCCTCATCTTGGAGGTGCTTGTCCCTGTCTGGCATCCCACAGTTTTCTATGGGAATGTGAAGATGCTTCAGCGGGGCTGCTGCCCTAAGGAGCATCTGGGGCAGGTGGACCAGGGTGGATGCATCAGTCGTGAGGACAGTGAAGGGCCGCGGATGCGGCAGTAGAGAGGAGGGCTGGCTGGAGAAGATGGGAGAGCGGCAGTTCCCACGCAGAACAGCAGCAGGAGGGCCGGGGAAGATGAGCTGGACAGGTAAGTATGGCGGGCAAGCGGGTAAGCAGGTGAGCAAGTAAGCAGGTAGGCAGGTGAGCAAGTAAGCAGGTAGGCAGGCGGGCAGGTAGGCAGGGAAGCAGGCCCTTGAATACTGTGCTAAGGAGTTTGGGTTTTACCTTGAGGGTGAAGAGTTCTTAGCGGGATGTTGGTGGAGCCTGGCAAAACCAGAGGCACAGAGATGCTGCCAACTCATCTTGCAGAGCGCGTCTCAGACATTCCTAGCAAAGAGAAGGCCCTGGGAAATCCAGTGACTCTGAAACCTTCATGCAGAGATGTGCGTGGAGATCTCTAGAAAGGGCTGGAGCCAGAGGGATAATTTCCGAAAGCTTCACAGATGCTGTGCTTCTGAGCAAAGTCCACACTCTGCATCTGGGCAGTGCACACGCAACCATGCACCAACCACACCACTCTTTGCAAGGACCTCAGCTCCTCGCCCAAACGCCGCAGGGCAAGCCCAGGCAGGGCTCAGCATTCCACTCTGAAGGTGAAGCCATGTGCTTTAAAAGAAGGCAGAGGCTCTGTGGCTGTTTCTCTTCCCCTCGCTGGGAGGTGGGACAGGGTAGTGGTTAAGCGTGGGTTCCATCATCCAACATCTAGGTGGCAATCCCAGCTCTACTGTTTAACAGTGTGTGCCCTTATATGCATTTCTTAATTTCTCCGGGCCTCTTTCCTCATTATCAAACTCAGGATTGAGCGGATTTCTCTACTCTCTACACCTAGAAAGTAGTGGGTGTACCTCACTACATGGCTCGTCAGAAGACTACAATAAAATGTGCTGTTATCATGATCTGTTTCTCCAGCACTTTTCTTTTAAACTGTCTGGAGAGTTGAATGATAACAACAGGCCTTTTAAGAATTTTGGAGGTAGGAACTACAATGATTCCCAAGCTGCTGATGAGGAACCGAGCCTCAGAGGGTTAATAACATCCCAGGATCTCATGCCCCCAAAAAGGGCAAGGCTCGGGAGGTGGAAAGACTTCTCATCACCAAGTATCACAGGGAGAAGGTCAGCTCCAGACTGAGCCTTAAAAAGTGTGTCTTGTTCAGGAAGGAGGTTGAGAAAGTGGGTGGCCACATGCCCGGGCCCTGGAAGGCTCCCTGGACCAGGGCCTCACGGACAGACTGAGAAAGCCGCTCCTGGCCTGGGTCATGCCTGCAGGGCCCTCGCTAGCCTATGAAACCCCACGGGCCTGCACGTTTCCTCCACAAGCTGTGAGAGGCATCAGTATGTCCTCTCCGGAGTGACAAATGACACTCGACCCCGAGGCCCACGCAGGCTCGGTAATCAGTGACAGCTGCAGCAGCTGTTCTGCTGGCCAGGGGTCAAGGTCCCAGGCAGCTTCTCCTTATGGGGTATAACCTGATTGCACTGCAGCTCTGAGCTGCCCCAGGAGCCCCGTGCACAGAGCCTGAGACTATGTCAAGCCCATCTGTCAATCTGGAAGAGCCCACCTCTCAATCTATGGAAAGAGACCGGAACAGTGCAGGTGCCCACTCAGTGCTGAAATGATCAAGGAGTAAATGAGTGAGTGAGTGAAGGAATGCATGAATCCTTCCTCCTCTTCCCTCGTAAGAGACAATCTCCAAGCAGCAATTGCCCCACCCTCATGGGCTTTTCCAGAACTGTGTGAGAAGAAAGGAGCTGCTCAGTGTCAGGGACACCCCTCCAAGTCCCACAGACCACAGTAGCAGGCATCTGACTCATGCCAGACCTGTCCTCCTGCAGGGAGCACACATACCCACCTGCCCCTGTGTGGTCGGCAGCCATGCCCCTGAGCCCTAGAGGCAGCGGGGAGCAAGATCTCCAAGCCCCAGCTCCACACTGATGGCTGCTCCTGGACAAGGATGCAGGGACCTGGAAAGAAAGGACAATCCCCCACCGAAGGAAGCGGAGGGGCCGGGATTTGAGGTTACAGCATGGAAGGAAAGAGCTGAGCTTCAAAGGCCGCAGAAGAAGAACAGGCGGAGTTAACAGGAAAAACCACAGTCAGGCCCTCTGGGAGAGGCTGGGGTTGCATGGAGGGCTGAGGAGGGGGAAGAGGGGCCAGGACTGGCAAAGGCTGCCTGACAGTCTGCCCTCCAGACAGCCACTTCCTCCCCTGTGCCTGCTCCATGTGGGAAGCCCTATGGGGGCTCAACTTTCAGCCCTGCTTCGGAGTGGGGGGACTGTCTCCTCCCTTGTCGCTCCCCATTCTCACCCCCACCCCCAACAGAGACCCCTTTCTGCAAGGCCAGGAGTGAGCGCACGGCATCAGACCCTTGCATCAGAGCCCTGGCACGTCCTTGTTTTCAGTGGTTTGGAAGTGAATCGTCTCTAGGTTTGTGTTGAGGCCAAGATACACGTTTTTCCTTTTCTCCGCTTTCCTTTCTTGTGCCTTGTTATGACTGGCTTTGGAGCCTGGCTTACAGGGAGGGGGGATGGAGAATGGGCAGGCTGTGGGGGAGGTGGCTGGGGTCCCAGGGAGGGAGGTCTCGGGACACCTGCCCTGCCAAAGTTAAGGCTACTGGGCAGGTGACCTTGGCCTCCAGGTCAGGGAAGCTGGAGGTATCTCATGGGCCACAGAGTCCCAGGATCCACAGAGGAAGGAGGAGGGAGCCGCTGGGAAAGTGGTTTAGGCTTAGGTGGTTGATGAGTGCGTGGGACAGGGGGAGGAGGAAGAAATGGGGAGGCTGCCACATGGCAGAGGAGGAACCCACACTCCGGAGAAACTCACTTTGTGTTCCAGCCTCCACTCGGAGCCGAGCGTCATCCCACCCACCCCGGGCTGGGTGTTTCTCCTTCACTTGGGAAAACCAAAAGGCAGAATTGAGGTTGCGGCCTCCAGAGCCCATCAGGACAAAAGACATGCCCTGAGCGCCCTGCACCAGCCCTGAGCTGAGTGGCGGCCCCACCAGCTGGCCCTTAGGGCTGAAAGCAAGAGCAGGCACGTGGGAGCTACCCAGGGTCTCGGGGTGCTGTGGAAGGTGCACCCCCACCAGCCTTCCACAGCCACCACATCCCAGGAGAGGCCAAGACACGCCCCAGACCAAACAGAAGACGGGAAAATGCTGGTTCTGAAAAATGTTTACATTCTCCTTCCCAGAATTCCAAGATACTAAGATGTCCTAAAACAAAAAGAAATGAAAAGATAGGAGGGAAAACACCCATTGATGAAAATGATTCATTCCCTCGATACATTTCTACAAAACGAACCCGGAGCAGGACCCAGAACTCTGCGTTCATCCGTCAGCACCCAGCTAACTCCTCCACACCCCTGTTCGGGGCCGGATGGCAAGACACCAAGATGGTTAAATTTAAGAGAAGTCACAGGATGGTGGAGACAGTTTAAATAACAAGCACCTGGGGAAGCGGTTCATTGCCGGGTCCGGACGAAGCCGCGTGGGAGCCGGGGGTGCAGGGTTATGGTTGTGGGACAAATTAGTGGACTTTCTACTTCAGGCACAGTTCTCCTGGCTTTTTTTCTCCCCAGACTCAACTGTCCCTCCAGGCCTCAGCAGCAGGACAGTGGAAGGTTCGAGGTTCCGGGTGATGGAATCACCTGGCCCCCTGTAGGCAGCCCCCTTCCTCTGAGACAGCCCCCAGCCAGAACTTCCTCAGCCAGTGTGGGGGATGGAGGTAGAAAACAAAGTTTACATGGACTCCCCTCTCACCCCACAAAGAATGCTCCCAGACAAGCTAGGGTCCATTGAAAGGACAGGGCTGGCTGGGTGCGGTGGCTCACGCCTGTAACCCCAGCACTCTGGGAGGCTGAGGCAGGAGGATTACTTGATCTCAGGAGTTCAAGACCAGCCTGGACAACATGGCGAAACCCCGTCTCTCCAAAGTATACAAAAATTAGCCAGGCATGGTGGTGTGTACCTGTAGTGCCAGCTACTTGGGAGGCTGAGGCACGAGAAGTGCTTGAACCCAAGAGGCGAAGGTTGCAGTGAGCTGAGATCATGCCACTGCATTCCAGCCTAGGTGACAAAATGAGACTGTCTCAAAAACAAAAATAAAAAATGAAATGACAGGGCCAACAACACACAAAGAGAGAATCTGAGAGGAAAGGTGACTTGCCTCACGTCACCCAGCCAAGGTAATGGCCAAGCAGGTATCAGAAACTGGCCGTGCCATGAAACATGAGCTTCTGCTACCCGAAAAATAGCAGGGTTCATTCCCCTGTCAAGCAACAATGACTCTCTGTGAGAATGCAAGTTTTGATCCATGAGTTTATTACTTGGCTCCAATAAGGAGGGCACTGGGCATATTCTCAAAGCAGTGTCTCTCCAAGGGAAAGTGACAGGAGGGTATTATGGGGCAATGGAGAGGGCAGAGGGTGCATCGTCGCATGTAGAGCAGGGGTCTCTGTGGCACAGGACCCTGTCATCATGCCAGCACATGGGTTGCATGTTATGGTCCTGAAGCTGCAGCTTTTCCAGGGTAGAGACTTAGCATTGTCATGAGGAAAGTTCACTGGGATTCACGTCTAAGTTGCCAGGGTCTTTCAGGAGCTGGTTCTGACCAACAGGGTGGCCTCATTCCACCCAGGGTTGGGAAGAGTAGGCTGCAGGGCAGGAGGCTGTAACCCAGGCTGATGGCTCAACTGGATTAAATTCCTCCGGTCCCTGGATGTGGTGGCGCACACCTGTGGTCCCAGCTGTACTCAGGAGGCTGAGATGGGAGGATCACTTGAACCCAGGAGGTCAAGGCTGCAGTGAGCTGTGATCACACTACTGCACTCCAGCCTGGGCAACAGAGCTAGACCCTGTCTCAAAAAAAAAAAAAAAAATCCTATGGTGGTCCCTGGAGACCCTCCTTGTCTCCTTACACTTCAGCCCTGGTGCATTTTCTGCAGAATTAAGATCTGAGTCAGTCAAAGGGTATAACATTTTAGCTATGCAGGATGAGTAAGTTATTTGAGATCTAATGTATGGCATCATGAGTACAGTTAATAATACTGTATCCTGGGAATTTGCTAAAAGATTTTATCTTAAGTGTTCTCACCACACACACAGAAATACTGTCGCTACGTGAGCTGATGGGTTTGTTCATTAGTTTGACTGATAATCATTTCGGTCTATACATATATCAAAGCATCATGTACACCTTAAATATATACAATTTTTATTTGTTAATTATACCTCAATAAAGCTGAAAAAGTCTTTTTAAATTAATTTTAATTTTAGAAGAATTGAGAGCATAAAGTGACCTTTGAGACCTTTCGCAGGCACCCTGCGTGTTTCAGGTAAGAAGTCCGAGGCCCGGGGTGTGACACCCCCAGGCCACCAGCTCTGAACGACCTGTAATCAGGGTGGCCCAGCTCCACCCAGCCCGTGGCTCCCTGGGACTGAGTTGCCTTCAATGCCTCCAGGGCTGGGGATTACTGATGGTGGCAGGGAGCAGGGGCCTTCTAGATGACACCCTCCTGGGCCCAGGCCACAGTCAGCTTGGCGAGGCCCAAGGCTTCTCCCGCGGCTCCTCCCACGGCCCAGATGGGACGCAGGCCGATCTAGGCTGTCCCGCTCGTGCCCCCGTGTGGCCAAACGCTAAACACCAGGAGGGTGCAAATGGACCTGGGCAGCTTTTGAGCCTGCTGCACCTGTCACCCGCAGGTCAGGGCCAATGGAGTTCAGGACGTCTGCGCACCAACGACTCAGACCACAAACCTGTGCCTGAGCAGTGGCTGGCAAATATTTAGGGGTGAACCTGCAGCTCATTCATGAAAACTAAGAACATGCAGAGGACCCCGAGCTTCAAGCAGCTTAATGGTGACACTAAAAAGCTCACCTCAGCCTGGGCAACATAGGGAGACCCTGTCTCTGCAAAAAATTAAAAAATCAGCCGTGCATGGTGGTGTGTACCTGTAGTCCCAGCCCAGCTCCTCTGGAGGCTGAGGCATGAAAATTGCTTAAGCATGAGAAATCAAGGCTGCAGTGAGCCAAGATCACGCCACTGCACTCCAGCCTGGGTGACAGAGTGAGACCCTGTCTCAAAAAAGTTAAAAAGCTAACCTCAACAATCTCCCCTTTTGTTCTGATCTTCAGCAGTTACAGGATCCCAGAAGGATCACTTCCCCAAAGCAGCCCCTTTCGGCCCAGCCCCATGGCTAAATTCCCACTCATTATAAAGGGTAGGACACTCGGGGTGACTTATCCTCCAGTGTCTGGAGCCCACAATATTTTAGGGACCCAAGAAAACGTTCTTACTTCCACTCTTATTAATTAATTAATGTATTTATTTATTCTGAGACAGAGTCTCGCTCTATCGCCCAGGCTGGAGTGCACTGGCTTGATCTCAGCTCACTGCAACCTCTGCCTCCTGGGTTCAAGCGATTCTCCTGCCTCAGCCTCCCGAGTAGCTGGGACCACAGGCGCCCGCCACCACGCCCAGCTAATTTTTTTGTATTTTTTAGTAGAGACGAGGTTTCACCATGTTAGCCGGGATGGTCTCGATCTCTTGACCTCGTGATCCACCCACCTCAGCCTCCCAAAGTGTTGGGATTACAGGCGTGAGCCACCACGCCCAGCCCCCACTTCTTTTCAAGTCAAATTTTAATATAATAATAATATACAGTTATGAATCCAGCCTAGATTACATTCATATTTGTACCAACAGTCCTCAAATCGCATTTTTATTTTCTTTATAGAGAAAGAGGTCCCGGAAAGGAAAAGAGCCCCGACCAGGCCCCCTGTTCCTATGCAGCCCCAGGACTCTGTGCCTCTGAAAGCTCTCACTTATAAAGGTAAAATCCATTTCCAAAGACGAGGAGCACCGTGGGCCCATTCTCGCTTGCTTTCTCTGAGACAGCACAGATCTGAGGGGGTGTCCAGGACAGTGAAGCCATCAAAGAGCGCGTGACAGGAAGGGGGATGCTTGGCCTGGAGTGGGCAGAGGAAGACAACACGGGCTACGCGGGCGTCTCCACCTCCGCAGAAGCAGTGAGAAGAAAGGAGCAGTCAGGCACAGCTGGGTTCGTCTTCCCGGGAATGTGATCTGGAGGAAACGGTTTAACCTCCCAGACCTCCCCACATCTGTAAAGCAGAGAAGACAGCAGCACTTGCCCGATGCGGCCATCTCGAAGGCTCGCCACCCGCGGGAGGCACCGGAAACGGAACTGCCAGGACCCTTTTCTCAAGATGGCGCCCAAGGTAATGAAGGAAGCGCCTGCCCCTCCCAAAGCCCAAGCCACAGTAGGGGCTTTGAGGACCAAGGAGGCGGTGCTGAAAGGTGTCCACAGCCACAAAAAGTAGATCCGCCGTCAGCCACCCTCCGGCGGCCCAAGACGCTGCAGCTCCGGAGACAGCCCAGCTATCCTCGGAAGAGCACCCGAAGGAGCGTCCCCAACCCGAGTCCGCCATAAAGACGTTATTAGATTGGTGCAAAAGTAATCATGGTTTTTGCCATTACTTTAGATGGCAAAAACCGCAATTACTTTTGCACCAGCCTAACAGAAGACAACCACACACGTGCTTCTTATGGATGTCAAAGCTGGCAGGCGCTGGGCAAACAGGCTGGAAAGAAGCCCTCCGACATCGGTATGCCCAAGGCCCATACCCTGCTCAGGCCCGAGGTTCAATTGGCACCTGGCTAAGATGGTTTGGATGCTGCCCACAAAACCGGGTCATCTAAACTGTGTCCAGAGCTGGGCATGGTGGCTCACACCTGTAAGCCCAGCACTTTGGGAGGCCAAGGTGGGAGGGTCCCTTGGACCCAGGAGATCAAGACCAGCCTGGGCAACATAGTGAGACCTCATCTCTACAAAATTTTTAAAAATTTTTAAAAATTAGCGCAGCATGGTAGCTCACGCTTGTGGTCCCAGCTACTCAGGAGGCTGAGGTGGGAGAATCACTTGAGCCCAGGAGGTTGAGGCTACAGTGAGCCATGATCATACCACTGCACTCCAGCCTGGGTAACCGTGTGAGACCCCATCTCAAAAATTAAAAGTAATTAATTAAAAAATAAAATAAACTGCATCCAGCTGGCTAATCCTAAATATATACTTTTTCCCATGAAAAGAGTGGAGCCATCATAATAATGTGCTTTTGCTCTCATTTCCCAGGTGGACCCTGAGCCAGGCCGCATCCAGTGGGGAGCCCTGCATGGGCAGCAGGTGAAGCCCCTTGGAGATGCCCAGGGATCCAAAGGCGACATCATTGATGGCAAGGCTGCCCCTCTTGGTCTCTGGGTTTGCCACCACTCTGGCTTGGAGACAGGTGCTGCAGCCTTCCCAATGCTGGGCTCACTCTGGACTCGTCATGAAGTGCTTTCTGCCAGGGCACCCTGGTTGGAAGTTTAGAAGCCCTAAAGGACAGCTACAATTGTGGCAGCTGTGAGAGAGCAGCTGTTGTTGATCCACACACGGGCCAGAAGGTTTATTCCGAGAGGTTCTGGAAATCTGCTGGGAGGGATGACTCCCTTGTGTGGGGAACACACTCAGATAGTTGCATATTCACTCATCTACACCACACCATGAATAAAACTTAGATTCCAGATTTTAAACACTGCCAAAGGGCAACTTCCTCCCTTTACCCACTGACCTCACAACTGCCCTCAGCACACAGTCATCCCAGACCTGCTCCCACAACAGGGCTCCCTCCACTGCTGCGGCCCGGCTCAGGGTCACCCTGGGAAATGATGGTTAAAAAATAAAAATGACTGAGGTGCCCGGTTCAGCCTTCTGTGCCGAATGAGCGCAGCAGCCAGGTGCAACCGGAATGACGGATGGGAACCAACAGATGTCCCTCCCACATGGCACCAGCAGCCAGGGCCCCTGAAGGCCACTGTTCACCTTGGCCCTCATCCTGCAAACATGTTCGGAGCTCATTCTCTGAGCCAGGCTGTGTGCTGGGCATGGAGCTGCTGGGGTGAGGGCAGACAGGACCTGGCCTCTAGCCTCAAGGTCCTTGCAGTCTGGGAAACTTTACAAGCACGTGAATAAAGTATTCGAATCAAGAAAGATAGGAACTGTTATAGAATTAAAAGCAAAGTGCTTTGGGTAGAGTTACAAGCAAGGTACCTGGAAACCCAGAAAGAGAAGGATTCTTCAGTCTGGGAGGAAATTAAGGAACATTCACAAGGGTCAGAAATGAGCTGGGCCCTGAAAGATGGAAAGGAATTTCCTGCTTAACTAGAAAGCTTTCTCCACAGTCCGAAATATGTTTCACAGTGAGAAGGAGGATAGGCAGGGAACACGTTGGCGTTGTTGTGGTGTGTTGTTGCTGTTTTTTTTTTTTTTTTTTTGAGATAGAGTCTTGCTCTGTCGCCCAGGCTGGAGTGCAGTGGCATGATCTCGGCTCACTGCAAGCTCTGCCTCCAGGGCTCACGCCATTCTCCTGCCTCAGCCTCCCAAGTAGCTGGGATTACAGGCGCCCGCCACCACGCTGGGCTAATTTTTTTGTATTTTTAGTACAGACAGGGTTTCACCGTGTTAGCCAGGATGGTCTCGATCTCCTGACCTCGTGATCCGCCTGCCTCGGCCTCCCAAAGTGCTGGGATTACAGGCGTGAGCCACCGCGCCCGGCCTGTTGTTGTTTTAAGCCAGCAATACACCTCACCACATTAGTGTGGATGTCTGGAGAAAGTGTTGAGACTACATTGGCATCTAAAAATTCCAGTTGTGTCGAACGTAGCGGCTCACGCCTATAATCGCAGCAATCTAGGAGGCCAAGGTGAAAGGATTTCTTGAGCCCAGGAGATCAAGACCAGCCTGGGAAACATGGCGAGATCCCATCTCTACAAAACATTTTTAAAAATAGCCAGGCATGGTGGTGCACACCTGTGGTCCCAGTTTTTCATGAAGCTGAGGCAGGAGGATCACTTGGACCCAGGAGTTCAAGGCTGCTATGAACTGTGATTGCGCCACTGAACTCCAGCCTGGGTGACAGAGTCAGACCCTATTTCAAATAAATAAATAAAAATTCCAGTTGCTAAAGCCACAAATATCCAGAACCCACACACTGACCTGTGCCTTCCAGGACTGCAGGTGGGGTGGGTACTGTCTCACTGGTTACTATAACGGAGTACCACAGTCTGGATGGCTTAAACGGCAGACATTTATTTTCTCACGGTCCTGGAAGCTGGAAGTCCAAGGTCAAAGTGCTGGTGTGGTTGGGTTCTGGTGAGGGCTGTTGTCCTGGCGTGCAGACAGCCACTTTCTCACTGTGTCCTCCCGTAGCTTTTTCTGTCTGAGACAGAGATCTCTGGTGTCTTTTTCCTTTTGTTATAAGAACACCAGTTTTTTTGAAGAGAACAGTCCCACCTTTATGATTTCCTTTAACCTTACTCACCCCCTTAAAGGCCCTACCTCCAAATATAATCACATTGGAAGTTAGGGCTTCAAAATATGAATTTGGAGGAGGCCTAATTAAGTCTGTAGCAGGCATTCCCAGCAATGCATCAAAAAACAAAAACAACAAAAAAAAAACACGGAAGGTTGGAAAGAGAATGCAGTGAGGAAAGGGTCGGAAAGGGAGGGGCTGTGGCCAGGACGGGTGTCAGAGAGAACTGCCAAAGAGATTCGAAAACCAGGGACCCAGATCATCCTCCGGGCCACTCCCAAATCAAGGGAAGAGGCTGGACGGGTCCAGGGTCGTCTCCTTCTTTTCTGTGTCAGATCTCCTTGATTCTACACTAACTCCAGGCATCTTTCTTCCTGTCCTATCCAGTCCTCACCATAGACTCATTCTGGAAAGCGGGGAGGGATGGCAGGAGAGGGAGCAGAAAGAGAAACTATTACGCTGTAGGTCCCGGAGAACACTGCTCTCCCTGGGTCTGGGAGCTTAGGGACTTTCTGCCACACCCCACGCCTCACAAGACTGAAAGAGTTTCATCAGGGTCTGAGCTCTGGGATTTGGAAACACTCATGGAAAACAGAGCAGAGCCTGAGTTTTGCGGAGAATCCCTGCCTTCTCCTAAAATACTCCTGGAGGAGGCAGCATCAGAATGCATGCTTGAGACGCACCACAGGATCTGCTTCCCCAAATCCTCAAACACACAGGACAGATGCCTCCTGGTCCCCATCATAACCCATCAATCACGCCCCAAAGCCGCCTGAGCCCTCACCTCCCGACTCTCCGAAAGCTGCCAACAATTACTGCTGAGCCAGCAATGCATAATAGTCTCCTTTCTGCCTTCCCGTCTCTTTCTGTCTTTTGTTCCCTGCCTGGAAATCTATATAGCATGAAAGGAGCTGTTGAGGTGTGTGTGGTTTTTTTTTTACCAAGAATCGGAAAATTTGAGTCATCTTTTTACAAAGTTAGACTGCGAAGGTTGTAGTCCTCTCTAAGGATTTAATAATGAAGTGAAGAGACCAGAGGTGACCAGAAACAAGTATGAGAGGAAACGAGAAGCCGTTATTCATGGATTTCCTGCAGTGTGCTCAGCACAGTACTACTCTAGGAGTTGGAGGATTTTTTTTTAAAGTGGTGGTGCTAGGGGCTGAGTGGTGCTACTTACTGTCTATTCTTCTGTTCTTCCTCAGTAAGAGAAACCTTATATTGCTTGGGATGGCACTGTGCCCAAAGTAAAACAAACACATCAAAAAAAAATACACAAGGCTTGCTTGGCTGGCAGACACTCCTTTTGCCAAGCTCTTTCCATTTTCTTCCTGCCTGGAAGATAGACATGATGACCAGAGCTGTAGCAGCCATCTTGGGACCATGAGGGTCCCATGGTCAAAAGATCAAAAAAACTGCAAAAGCTTTGGCTGTGGTATACATGAGGGCTGTCAAACTACAGCCCATGAGTCAAATCTGGCCCACTACTTGTTTTAGTAAATAGTTTTGTTGGAACACAGTCATGCTCATTTATTTGTCTGGAGCTAATTTTGCCCTGTCTATGACAAAGGGGAGTGGTTGTAACCGAGACCACTTGGCCCACAATGCTAAAAATATTGACTATCAGAAAAAAAAAATTATAAACCTCTGCTCTAAACCACAGGCAGTAACTGCCTATCTCCAGACTTATTATGTAAAAAAAAAAAAAAAAAAAAAAAAAAAAAAAAATCCTCTTGTGTTTGACATGAGGTTTCTTGTGTTTAACATAACGTTTCTGTTACTCACAGACTAATAGATATAATACTGTTTACACTCGAGGCACTCAGAGTTTACACAGCTGTGGAAGCAGAACATGGCAACGTTTAGAAAATTAAGAAAAAAGACACATTCCAAATCATCGCCAACCAGCAGAACATAGCCCTACACAACCCCAAGCAGCAATATTCACGGCGTCCTCTAGGTGGAGCTCTGCAGTGCACAGCCTGGGCAGCTGGAGGCAGCAGCCCTGTATCTCTGGCTTCATCCTGCAGCCAATTAATTCAACCAGTATATGGGGATTATCTCTGTGTCAGACACTGTGGAAAGTGAATACAACATGGCCCCTGGTCTTTAGAAGCTTATAGGATAAAAGAAATATACCAAGTAGCCGTATGGTATGGACTAACTTGTGTCCCTCACCCAAATTCATATGTGGACGCCCTACCCCTCAATGTGACTGTATTTGGAGTTGGGGCCTTCGAGGGTGTAATTAAGGTTACATGAGGTCATAAGACTGAGGCCCTAAACCAAATAGGTCTGGTTCCTTATAAGAAGAGGAAGAGACACCCAGGATGCGCACACGCGGAGGAGAGACCGCGTGAAGACACCATGAGAAAGAAGGTGGTTTGTACATCAAGGAGAGAGGCCTCAGGGGAAACCAAACCTGCTGACAGTTTGATCTTGGATTTCCAGCCTCTAGAACTTGGGGAAAATGTATTTCTATTGTTTAAGGCCCCCAATCTGTGGTCTTTTGTTATGGCAGCCATAGCCAAGTAACACACAATTTAAATAGACCACATGGTGGCTCGAGGTCAGTGCTCCAGAGATTCAAATGTCACATAGCAAATAGCATCATTCCAAGGCCTGGAGGATAAAGACATGACAGCCCCTGTGTCCGCTGAGACAACCAACCATTGCTGCTCCACACACCTTCAGCAAGCACTGCTCAGGCTGGGGCACCTGATGCTGAGATCTCCCTTGATAGGTGTTCTATTTGAAGAGAAAAGATTGTGTCCCAGCTATTGAACGCCCACCCAGGCTTCATCCACCTGGGCACCCAGTCCGGTCCAGTCCATCTCTGCACTGGCAGGCACGGCCTGGCTTTCACATTCCTCTCTCACCGCCTCTCCCAACTCCATATCTGGCCTCCAGCTCTGCCAGCTGCCTGTTTACACCACACGCCACAATCTGATCAATTTTCCAGAACATGTGTGTTTCGGTTCATATCATTCCTTGACTGGAGATACAGAGCTCAGATTCCCTTTCTCCATGATGCATTTTTTAAAAACAACGAATTCTCAAGCACTGTTTTCCTCTTGTGTGGCATTCACTCCATTCTGGCTTCTGTTGAGACGATGTTGATAAAGCTGATGCATCTTTTATCCTCTCCTAAATGGGAGGGTCTTAAAGGGAAGCCAAGATCTTTGCATTTCCCTTCCCGAGACTCAGTTCAGAGCCATGTATTAGACATTCAACACGTGCCCATTAAATAATAGATCAATGATAGATCAATAGATGGATGATAGCTCAAGAGACAGATATATTGATTGATTGATGATAGATATATAAACAGATGATCAATGATAGATCAATAGATAATAAACAGATAAATAGATGATTGATGGACAGATAGATAGCCAGTGGCTGACACCTGTAATACCAGCTACTCAGGAGGCTGAGGCAGGAGGATTGCTTGAGTCCAGAAGTTCCAAGCTGTGGTACACTACACAGATCAGGGGTCCACACTAAGTTTGGCATCCATATGGTGACCTCGCAGGATCAAGGGACTGCCAGGTTGCCTAGGGAGGGGTGAACCAGCCCAGATTGGAAATGGAGCAAGTCTAAACACCCATAATGATCAGTAGCGGGATCACTCCCGTGAATAGCCACTGCACTCCAGCCTGGGCAAGATAGTGAGGCCCTGTCTCTAAAAAAAAATTGAAAGATGATAGATAATAGATAATCAATGGATGGATAGATAAATGAATAGATAGATGACTGATGGATGGATAGGTAGATAGAGGGATAATAGATGATAGAGAGAAGGAATAGATGATGATAGATGAGAGAGAAAGAGAGGTAATATTAAAGCCATCATTTCTGGCCTTGCAGGGAACACTCTCTCAGCCGTGTTTCCTGACTGCACTGGGGAGGATTTGGGTCCAAGCTCCTCCTGTAATTTCCTGAGGTCCTGTGAAATGATCCTGCCCTAGGCAGCTGCGTTCCCAGAGGAGTGTCCACCTGGGAGCACGCCACAAGCCCAGAGGAACATTCTGATTTCCTAATGGAACCAGATGTCCCAGTTTGGGCAAAAGGGCCTCCCGGGAAAACAGAGTACTGCCAAGGACTCAGTCTGGCATGTCCCCAGAGGGAGAGAAACTGTCCCCACCCACCACTTACTTGGATGGAATTGCTCCCCGGCATGCAGAGGTATCACTGTGTGAGGTCAGCAACGATGCGTGGAGGCCTGTCTCGAGGCGACCTTCTGGTGGGGAGGACATTCTCTCCGGTTGTATTTTCATTCCACTCAGTGTTTCCGTGCAGAGTGGAGTGAGCGCCCCTCCTTGACCTCATGAAGCTGCTCAAGGGCAAAACTCTACCTGGGACTCGATTTGCTTAGAAACAAAATACGCAAAGGAAACACCAATTCAAGGTAGCCTGTTATTCACGGCCAAGAGAGAGACTTCTCTGACACTTTGGATCTTTCCCTCCATCAATCATTTACTTCAGTGCTTGGAATGTCAGGAGGAAAATAATGAGTCACACCTGGTCTGAGGCAACCAAGTCACTTGTCAGCACAGAGTGCCTGCAATCACAGCACTCGGTGACCAAGGCCCAGATGCTTGGCTGCAGCTGGAGGCATAACAAGAGGTGCCAGAGAGAAAGACCAGTGAGATACTTTACAGCCAAGATCTGCAAAGCACACATCCAGGGACTCCAGCTTAGGAAGCCTGGCTGTGAATGTTTGTTGAATGCAAAGGAACACATCGTTGTAGGCTGGCCTGGGAGCCCAACACAAAATAAGAATCAGTGCCCAGCTGGGCTTTCAGTTTACTTGTTATTAGAAATATTATTGGGCTTTATCAAGTCTTGACAACTCTATTGCCCTGTTTGAAAGTGACACAGAATTAATCCATGGGCTGTCAGATCATCTGAGGAACGGCCTTATAGACCAGGCCAGTTTTAGATTCAGCCTGCTGGATGTGGGAGCCACATGTGGTGGGACAAGCACAGGTTGGGGGCTGGATGTGGGAACTCAGTAGCACCCAGCCTCTTGAGTAATACTGCTCTCATCAATGCTGTATTTAACCAAAACTGCACCTAAATCGTATCTTACCTATATTTCTTGAATACAAGTTTATACTCCATGCTATTTTAGAAGCAGCAAGGGACCCCTCTGACACCAAAGAAGAAGGAAAAAAATCTAACAATTAGACTCTTTGAAGTCAGCTTGTGATGGATTTTTTTTCCTATGGCTCAGTCAAGTTTTATAAATGACCTATTTCTGTTCTGCCGCCCACAGATTCCTAGAGGCTCGTAGGCAAAATCCCACGCTCTCCGGATGGCCAAATCTTGCCTTTTATGATCAAAGTCTCTCCCAGGTCTTTGAAAATCATAAGCATAAGAAGGATTACAGTAAGCCCTGTTATACATGTAAAATTCCATGGAATTAAGTCTCACTCTCTTCTTCGTGCCTGGTAGAAAAAGTATGAAGGAAAAGAAAAGTCACTTCAACAAATCTTCTGTTTCTTCATCCTCATCCCAGAAGAGTGCTGCCATTAATCAAAGTCGTTATAAAGCTTTGTAAACCACAGAGCACCATGGGAATCAAAATGAAGTTGTTCTTTATGCTATGTAATTGACTTTATTAATCCAAGACTTTAGAAGGTCAGCAGTCATCCCTCTTCTGTCTTCTCCAGTGTCCTTGGCAGAGTTAAGAGTCAAGTTTGCTCATGCCTTGTCCTGGTCTGCTGAGGCTGCTAAAACAAATTCTATATGGCTGGGCACAGTGGCTCATGCCTGTAATCTCAACACTTCAGGAGGCTGAGGAGGGAGGAATCCTTGAGCCTAAGACCAGCCTGGGCAACATAATGAGAACTTGTCTCTACAAAAGTTAAAAAATTAGACAGATGTGGTGGCACACGTCTGTAGCCTCAGCTACTCAGGAGGCTGACGTGGGAGGATCACTTCAGCCTAGGAGATTGAGATCATGCCACTGCACTCCAGCCTGCGCAACAGAGCAAGACCCCGGCTCAAATAAAAGCAAACAAAACCTAAACACTGGTGGTTTTTAAACAACAGAAATCTATTTCTCAAAGTTCTAGAGGCTGAGAAGTCCAGGATCCCTGCCTGGTGATGACTGCTCTCTTCTCCATAGACAGCGACTTCTTTCTGTGTCCTCATCTGCCTGAAGGGGCAAGGCAGCTCTCTGGCACCTATTTTTATTTTTGACACAGAGTTTCACTCTTATTGTGCAGGCTGGAGTGCAGTGGCACGATCTCGGCTTACTACAACCTCTGCCTCCCAGCTTCAAGCGATTTTCCTGCCTCAGTCTCCCAAGTAGCTGGGATTACAGGCGCCCGCCACCATGCTTGGCTAATTGTGTATTTTTACTACAGACGGAGTCTCACCATATTGGTCAGGCTGGTCTCAAACTCCTGACATCAAGTGATCAGCCCACCCTGGCCTCCCAAAGTGCTGGGATTACAGGTGTGAGCCAGTGCACCAGGCCTGGCACCTCTTTTCTAAGGGCACTGGTCCCTTTCAAGAGAGCTCTGCCCTCATAGCTAATCAGCACCCAGAGGCTCCACATCCTAATACCATCACTGTGGGGGTGGGGATTTGAACACAGGAATCTGGGGAGAGACAGACATTCAGACCACAGCATCCCCCAGCTCACCACATGATGAGGTGCAACATCTGTTCCTATACCTGCTCCCTGAAAAACAGACTCTGAGATGCTCGGGGCCAAGATTTGCTTTTATGTGTTCTCATATCATTAGTGCCCAGCAGAGAACTTAAAATAGAACAACTGGTAAAAAAAGGAAAGAAGAAGATGGGTGGGCTTGGATGGGGAAGATGGGGAAGAGGACCAAGGAGCAAGAGGATGTCCCTGCTTCTCCTCTGGTCTTACCCTCTGTCCCCAGCACAGTGGAACAAGCTTCGGGATTTGGATTCACACCAAGAACGGAGGGACTTTTCTTTGTTGATCACTCAGAGTGCAGATGGTGAAGCTAAGTGCACATCCTGGCTCAGCGTCCAGTGGCAGATTCTCCCCAGCCATGAAGTCCGTGTGCACAACAACCGCACACCTGGAGGCCAGATGCTAGAGTGAAATTGTATTTGAACGAATAAATGTGTACACAGGTGCGTGAGAGAGAGAGAGACAGAGACAGGCAGAGAGGCCTATCATCCATCTTTTCTGCCTTTTTTCATGGTTTGGAGAAAAAGGAGGCACTCTTTAGATTGGACCAATTTAAGACATCTTTTCATTCAACTTGTCGGAGATCACAAGACCTTCAAGCCAAAATCACTGAGGCCTCGCTGTCACTGTCATGTGGTGCTAATGTGGAGAAAAGAGAAAAGGCAAAGACTCCAGGGTCTGGAAATATTTTCTCAGCCATTACAGGGGGCACAGCCCCTGCCAGGGCCCTGTGCGCCCCACCTTCATCTCTCCACGGCACAGCTGCTCGAAAGATGAGCAAGCTGTCCAGCTTTGTTCTCAGAGCCAGTCTTACGCTCGTTTTTCCGAATAAAGGAACTCAACTGCCTAGAAGAAACAGGTGTTGCCCACTGGAGAGAAAGCACAAGCAGTTTAACAAAGTGGCCCAGGGCATGAAATGGACAGGGAAAGGCATTCTTTTCATCCCAAATGACTTCAGAGCTCTCTGCAGACTCACCTGGTAGCACAGATGGGATACCACAGGGAGCATTGCTATGGTCCAGGAGTAGACGAGATTCCACTCCCTCCCTGGAAGACCACGGGGAGCCCAGAGCTGAGCAAGAGATCCCACTGGGGATCCCACTGGGGTCTCTTGCTGTCTCCCTCACGACGCCTCCCACCTGCAGAAGGTGGGCAGCACCCCGCCTCCACGGGCTGGGGACAGAGGGTGCAGCTGCATTTTCTTACTGTGAAATGGCCCCTCAATTATGACCTCTCCAAAGGGGAGGGTTTGATACCAGGGACTTTGCCCAGAGCCAGACCTAGAAGACGCACCATTGTCCAGGGAGGGAGCCATACCAGCGCAGCGAGGCCAATCAGTGAGAGGCATTTTACCCAGCACTTTCCTACAGAGGAGATGAGGGTCGGCTCTGTGAGACAAACCTCAGGACACAGGGCTTTGCATACCTAGTTTGTCTGAGAGTAGTTCCAAAAAAAGTGTCAACACCCACTGTGGAATACAAGCTCCTATAACCAAAACCATGCCGTTGTGGCCAACAGGAATCTGAAAGGTGTTTGTAAGCACAACCGAGTTTCTAATTTTTTGGTTTTTTTGCCCTTCGTTGTTCCTCTATGCATTCAATTTTTATTATGAAAAAATCAAACATCAAAACACATGGAGAGTAACCCCATGTTTCTATTTGCCCCCCAACATGAGCAAATAGTAGCATTCTATCATGTGCTTCGTATCTTTTTTTTTTTTTTTTTTTTTTTAGAGATAGGGTCTCACTATGTTGCCGAGGCTGGTCTCGAACTTCTGAGCTCAAGCAATCCTCCCGCCTCAGCCTCCCAAAGTGCTGGGATTACAGGCGTGAGCCACTCTTCCTGGCCAACATCACTTTTTAAGAAATGCAATACAACAGAGGTGAAGTTCCCTGCGTTCCTATCCCCAAGCCACTGGTATCCCCATGATGCCAGTGTGTGGTTTCCATGATTTTATGTATTTACTGCATACGTATGAATTATTAGATGGGCTTTTTAAAAAAATTATACAAATTGACTCATACCATACACAGAAAAGTCTGGCAATTGTTTGATCGACCACTATATTTTTGAGATCTATTCGTGTTAAAACGTGTAGTTCTAATCCATCTTAACTTTTATCGAGTGTAGGTATGACATGTAAGATGTATATGATATTCTACATCTTACTCCCAACTGGTGGGGTTTTCACTATTACAGGTATCGCTGCAGTAAACAACCTCATACATGTCTCCTTGTGATATTGCCTGAGAGTTTCTTTAGGGTATTATTTATATAAAGTAGAATTACTGGGGACAAGGGGTATGCACATTTTTCATTGCATTAATATCAGCCAATAGCTCTCCAAAACAGACCTATCATCAATGTATTCCCCACTAGCAGCCTGTGCATTTCCATTTGCCCACATGGCCCACCCATCCACACTGTGAAACTCAGACCTTTCAATGACTGTCTCAATGGCGACATTCAATGGTAATCACTTTGTTGAATTAAATATTAATTTGAATTTCCCTGATCACTTCTCAGCATCCTTTCCTGGGAGTGGACATTTCAAGATCCCTCTTTTATAAAGCCCTGTTCTTATTCTTTGCCCAGTTTTTTTCTATTGGGTTGTTTATCTTTTCTTTTTTGTAGAAATGGGGTCTCTTTAGGCTGCCCAAGCTTGTCTCAAACTCCTAAGCTCAATCCTCCAGCCTCAGCCTCCCAAAGTGCTGGGATGACAGGCATAAGCCACAGCACCTGGCCCATTTTAATGATCTATCATAAGATCTTTATATATTTTGCTTGCCAATTACTTGTTATATATGTTGCAAACATCTGCTCCAAATCTGTCCACTGCACACTGCATTTGAAAATGTAAACTGAGAAGTCTTATGACTGCAGGACTCCTGAAATAGATGGTATGATCTTAAGGCGGGAATAGTTCACACAGCTGCAAGATCTACAAACATCAACAAAACCACACAACAGTCAATGTAACTTTCATATTTGGGGACCACTTTAGGCTTTTCAAGGCATCTTTTTTTTTTCTTTTTTGTGGGGACAGAGTCTCACTCTGTCTCCCAGGCTGGAGTGCAGTGGCACGATCTTGGCTCACTGCAACCTCCGTTTCCAAGTTCAAGCGATTCTCCTGCTTCGGCCTGCTGACTAGCTGGGATTACAACCATACACCACCACAGCTGGCTTATTTTTGTATTTTCAGTAGAGACAGGGTTTCAACATCTTGGCCAGGCTAGTCTCAAACTCCTGGCCCAAGTGATCTGCCCACCTTGGCTCCCCAAAGTGCTAGGATTATAGACATAAGCCACCCCACCCAGCCAAGGCATCTTTCAATCATTTAATTTCAGCCTCATAAAAACCTGAGGCGGCCGGGCGCAGTGGCTCACACCTGTAAACCCAGCACTTTGGGAGGCCGAGGCAGGAGGATCACGAGGTCAGGAGATCGAGACCATCCTTGCTAACATGGTGAAGCCTCGTCTGTACTAAAAATACCAAAAAAAAAAATTAGCCGGGTGTGGTGGCGGGTGCCTGTAGTCCTAGCTACTCAGGAGGCTGAGGCAGGAGAATGGCGTGAACCCAGGAGACGGAGCTTGCAGTGAGCCGAGATCGTGCCACTGCACTACAGCCTGGGCGACAGAGCGAGACTCCACCTCAAAAAAAAAAAAAAAAAACACAAAACCTGACGCTGGGGACCCAATCTCGTCCACCTGAGGTGACGGGCTTGGCTCAGTGGTTGGTCATCAAGACCCCTTCAATGCTCCAAGTCTGATCCATTATCTCGGTTTTGCAGCTTTCCGGAACAACTCAGAGTAGAGAAGCAGATAAACCTGTGTGCAGTCACAGCCCTGCATAAGGGCAGGGGAGGACCCAAAATCCCAGTCACCTGGTCCCGTGGACAGCGTCTGTCTCCCCCAAGAAAAGTCCACATAAGGGGGGTGCTGAAGTTGGCATCAGGAGACCTGGGGAAGAGATGGGAAAGTGTGGCTCCCTGGCAAGCACAGCGCTGCCAAACGACCTGGGACACAGCAAGACGAGAGCCACCCCTCTCCATCCACACAGGATGCGCCCATCTTGGTGTTTCTGCCCCATAAGAAAAGAGTCGTGTGAACACAGGGATGCACTTTATTCCGCCACTTTTATTGAGCAACAGCCGTGGGGACCTGATTCTGCGCTAAGTGCTCTACTGTGAGACATCACAGGTTGTCATTGCTAGAGGCAAGAATCTCTTACAAAGATGAAAGGGCAGAACCCAGTGCTTTTTTTAATGGTTGTTATTCCATGCAGAAACACTGACTGATCCAGAACTGGTAACTAAGGCGGTGATCAAACAGGAATGCTTTTCTTCTCAGTTTAGGACGAAGACCCGCCATGACAATGGCGGGAACGCTGGAGTAAAACCTCACGGCGGCCAGCATGAAGTTTTTCGCCAGATTTGTGGCCCCACCCCCAAGTACCCACGCGGAGAGGCCTCCAGTCATACAGCACAAAGGGCATCGCCTTGGGCAGCTCAGGCTCACTCTGTTCCACACTGTCTGCGGTGGGAGGCTCGGGCCGGCCTGGGTGCATCCAGTGAGTACCACGTTCCCTTTTCCCGGCACACTGTCTCCAGGACAGGCGTGACCTGTTCTCCAGAATGGGTAGAGATGGGGTTTCATCAAGTTGGCCAGGCTGGTTTCAAACTCCTGACCTCAGATGCCCCAGAAACCACTCATCCCTGAACTAATCATGCAAAGTCCTCCAGTTTAACTCCCTGTTGTGGGCGGGGTTCTTAAAATTTATGAAGGCAAAGACTCCTAGGCCGGCCCATGCAGTCTGAATACGCTACCGAATGCTCCACCTATGGCTTATAATGCAGAACGACCTGTTTCTATCACTGCAGGACGGGATTGCAAGATTTTCTTATCCTGCCTTGGCTGCAGAGTCCCATTCCCGTCCAACTCAAAGCACTGGGACAATGCTGGATGTGATAGATGGTCTTACTAATTTGATAGCTTCAAGGAGTTAGCAAACTGTAGGGTGGGTGAAGAATTCATTTGACAACCATAGAAACAGATGAAAAACAATTCCCACAGAGTCTCCAAACAGGCCTTTGCACTGAGAATGCCGAGCCACGAGAATATACACCTTGACACACCTTCACACTGCTGTCGGTTTGAATGGCTCATTACCAAAACCTTAGTGGTACCGCCTACGTGTCCTCTAAAAGGTTTTTATCCTACATATAAACTTTTTACAAGAGTTGGAGACCTAATACTGAAGACAAATTTCCTAAGAAACTCAGTGCTACTTGTGGGGAATACAAAGCCAGGGCCTTCCCCCACAAAGACCCATAGAAAGTCCCTGAGTGACAGATGCGCGCAGGCTTGGGGCTGGGGGATGCCTTGGAAAGTGCTCCAGGAAAAGCATCCACACAGCAGCCAGCAGAGCAGCAGTCCCAGGCCACATCCCAGGCCGACCTTCCGTGGGCCCAGCCATTCCCTATGAGCACCGAGGGCAGTCCTGGTGCCGACCCGGAGGTGGTGGCCTGCACCTGGGGCCTGTGCATCTGCGGCAGGCTGCCCCGGTGAGTGAGAATCAGCAACAATGCCCTCAGTCCCCAGCTCTGCCAGCCTCCTCTGTGCTCCCCACGCCGTCTGTCCTGAGAGTGCCTTTGAGGATGGTCCGTAAAAGAGGAAAACTGGATGGTTGGGCCCATGCCCATTGAGAGGGTAGGTTCTGTAGAACAGCGCAGGGCCACACCCACAACTGTGACCTGAGACGCAGGCCTTCCCAACACCCTGGAAACATTATCCAGGATCCAGGAGAGAAGCCTAAACAGGATCGCAGGAAGGGACTCGAAGGAGCGTTGTTCTATCTACAGCAATCACGCTGCTTCAGAGGAACAGGCAGAGCCCTCACCCGGGCAATGCTGGGCACAACGGGGGCAGCCACGGTCCGGACCCCACCTGCAATTCAGTTGTAGGAGAGGTAATCAATGAGCCGGGGCGGGATGTTTAACTTGGCAATCTTCTCCAGCCCTCGGACGCCAGTGGCCTTCCTCAAGTTCACCCTGCAGAGCTGTGACAGAGTCAGAGGTGTCTCTGAAAAAGGGAGCAAGGAAGGATGTGAGGTTAATTTCAGGAAGAAGCACAACACCTGCAATGGAACACAAACTCAGAGGGAATCGGAAACGCCTCCCTTTCCCCTGGAACCGGGATGTGTCCTGTAGGCCTTCTCTGGAAGGACAGCCAGGAACCCGAGGAAGGGAGCCCAGGAAATGAAGTTCGGGGCATGATGTCCACTGGGATTGCCTTTTGTGGGCTTTGGGAGTTTGTTTGGTTTTGAGGTTTTTTGTTTTTTGTTTTTTGAGACAGAAAAAAAGCGACAGAGGCAAGAATCTCTTACTCTGTCACCCAGGCTGGAGTGCAGCGGCACAATCTCAGCTCACTGCAACCTCCGCCTCCTGCATTCAAGCAATTCTCCTGCCTCAACCTCCCGAGTAGCTGGGATTACAGGCACCCACCACCATGCCCGCCTAATTTTTATATTTTTAGTAGAGATGGGGTTTCATCAAGTTGGCCAGGCTGGTTTCGAACTCCTGACCTCAGGTGATCTGCCCGCCTCAGCCTCCCAAAGTGCTGTGATTACAGGTGTGAGCCACTGCGCCTTTTCAAAACCATGGTTTTGGTTTTTTGAGACACGGCATTATATTTCAGCACCCAAACTTGTCATCAAACAACTAATCTGCAGCTAGGAGGCTCATCTGTCAAATGTCCAGCACAGGAGGCACAGGTCTGGTGCCCGGGCAGGTGTCGGCCACAGCTTCTGCTGCTCCACGCCACGGGCCACAGGGAACCCAGGGAGAGCTGGGGCAACAGCACAAACAGCCCCCGCAAAGTGCTTAAGGGTCTGTCCTAGCGCAGAGGACAGGAGCCAGGACTAACAGCCCAGCTCTCCGCGGAAGCCCACAGGGAGCCGGCACGTCAGGGGTCCAGGCTGAAGGCTGGAGGGGATGGGGTGCGCTCGGTGGGGTGTCTCACTTTCGTAGTACTCGAAGCACTTGGCGGGAGCGCTGCTGCTCCACGTGTAGTCAGACGGCTTCTTCCCGCGGTTGTCCCGGGCGTAGATGTTGCCGCCAAACTCGATAAGCATCTCGATGAGGTCAACATTCTTGACCTTGGCCGCGTGGTGAAGGGCAGTCTCATGAAGCTTTGCCGCATTCACGTTGGCCCCTGGAGGTCAAGAGTGCAGAAGAGATTTCACCAAGAAGAGAACTTGAAGTCAGGGGGACAATCAGGTCCGTTTCGTCACACAGCACGGTGGCAGAAGCAATCCCCACCCAGAAGACAAAATCAGGACAGACTCTACCGTAGCTTTCAAAAATGTTTTTCAACATCCAAAAGCAGGAACTACTTACTGTCCCCACTCATGAGAGATAAAGGTAGGCAGCAATAATAAAGAAATAACTAGAAATAGAACCGAAAAGAAGAAAAATAAAACGAAAAATGTCCTGAGTTAAACAACCGTTCTAATGCCCTATCAATCTGCCTTCAGGGGTCCTGAGATTTCCGGAAGCTCAAACCAGAGCCACTCAAGCACTCCCGCCTGGCCTCCAGCACAGACACACACTGCTTCTTCCTCTTGCGGGCCCAGGACGGAGGCTCCAGAAATACTGGTTGAATGAAAGAATAAATGTTCCTTAACAATGCATATTCTTTTACAAAAGGAAAACAGATAACGTACCCAAAACAGTAGGCAATTCAGAGAAGAGAGTAAGCTCTGCACTCCTCAACTTTCTCACGATAAGAGCAGACATTCATCAAGCTGATTAAAAGTAAAGGTAAAAAAAAATTTTTTTTTAAAAAAAAGAGCAGACATTCAGAAAGATGCAAGGAATTAGTAGCTAAATATGGCTGGTTTTGGGTTTTTTTTTTTGAGACAGAGTCTCACTCTGTTGCCCAGGCTGGAGTGCAGTGACATGATCTCGGCTCACTGCAACCTCCGCCTCCAGGGTTCAAGCGATTCTCCTGCCTCAGCCTCCCGAGTTGCTGGGATGACAGGTGTGCCACCATGCCCGGCTAATTTTTCTATTTTTTGTAGAGACGGGGTTTTGCCGTGTTGGCCAGGTTGGTCTCGAACTCCTGGCTACGGGCATGAGCCACCACACCTGGTCACATATGGCATTTTGCAACACACTAAAAAAAATTTTGATAAAAATATGATTTTTGTAACACATCATTCTTAGGGCACAGCCATCACTGATCCGATACAATGGAATCCCCCAGGGCTTCAGAATTCTTTTGAAAGAAAATGCCATTTTATTCGAAGTCTGTTCCTCAAGTAACAAAGGAGGTTATAAGAGAAAACAAATAAAAGAGAAGTGTTTTAAAGAAGCCAAGCAAATCGCCCAGCATCAGTAAAATAATTCGCCAAATGATAGATTCAAACCACAAACATAAAGTATTATCAAAAGTGGGATTTTAAAACAATCAGACACTAGCATGCCATCACTTCCCGACAGTCTCAGAGGGTCAAAAGAGGAGCTGAGAGGTGGAACGCTTTTACATTTTCTAGTTCCTCTAGCTCAAAAAGCATCGGAAAAATCCCGCTTTCTGCTTTAAAATATTTTAATCCCCTAAAAGCACATAAGAACCATGCTCATAACAGCATTCGTGGAGGGATCCTAAGAACGCCCCAGCCCTCCAAAGTGATGACATAATTTAAGAAAGTTCTTTCCACTTCCCGCAGCCAAAACTCAGAAGTCAGAACAGGAAAAGGATCTCTCAACTAGGAAAAATGCTAACTTATCTATGTCCTGAATTTGGCAGAAATGTACTACAAAAAAATAATATTCAAAAGCAATAGATTAAAGAAATATTTCCCCACAATTCAACCTCTCTTTCACATAAGGGGTTTTCCTCCAGTATAATGTTGCAATCATAACACGAAGTAAATTTTAACACTAAACATATGCTTGTAATGAAAAACAAATTGTACCATCCACAGAATCTAAAGTTCAAGTAGCTTTCTCTCATGTCATTAATTCTGGCAATATTCTTGCCAATTGGGAGAGAAAGAGATGGTCTCTATTTTAACAAAAGAAGAAAAACAGAGAAAGAGGCCCAAGGGAGGCACAGCTACTCTCTCACGATCAGGGAGAAAACCATGGCTGGAAAGAGCTCTAAAAATCACGCTCCCTGCCACGCTCCACAGACGAGGCCTTGGCCAGGGGCTCTTGCAGGGAGGCAGCCTTCCCAATGTACATCTTTTCAAAATGTGTGTTTGGCATCATTTGATTGGGTGGAAGGGAAGGAAGGTGAATAAGGAAGGAAATGAAATTGTGAATAAGGGATTGAAGGGAAACACCAGGCCAGGGGTGCAGGCAGCTACATGGATGGATCCTGAAAGTATAGCACTGAGTGAGCCAAGAAGAGAGTCAGAGATGAAACTCGATCAGCTATGTTCATTAAAAATATATGCTTGGGCCAGGTACAGGGCTCACGCCTGTAATCTCAGCACTTTGGGAATTCGAGGCGAGCGGATCTCTTGGGCCCAGGAAATCGAGACCAGCCTGCGCAACATAGTGAGACCCTAGCTCTACAAAAATTTAAAAATTACCCGGGGGGCGTGATGGCACACATCTGTGGTCCCACCTACTCTGGAGGCTGAGGTAGGAGGATCACTTGAGCCCGGGAGGTTGAGGCTGCAGCAAGCCACGATCGTACCACTGCACTCCAGCCTGGATGACAGAGTGAGGCCCATAGTGAGAAAGAGAACATAAACAGGTACTCGTTAGAGGAAAACAGGGCCAGACACGGTGGCTCATGCCTGTAATCCCAGCACTTTGAGAGCCTGAGGCGGGCAGATCACCTGAGGTCAGGAGTTCAAGACCAGCCTAGCCAATATGGTGAAACCTCGTCTCTACTAAAAATCCAAAAATTACCTGGGCGTGGTGGTGCACATCTATAATCCCAGCTACTCAGGAGGCTCAGGCATGAGAATCGCTTGAACCAGGGAGATGGAGGCTGCAGTGAGCAGAGATCACACCACTGCACTCCAGCCTGGGTGACAGAACGAGACTCCATCTCAGAAAAAAAAGAAAGAAAGAAGGGAACAGATACAGAGGAAAGAAGGAAGAGAGAAAGAGGGTAGGAGAGGGAAAGAAAGTAACTTTGTGTGAAGCAAGGATGGTAACATACCTTGAACTGAGAGGCAAGAGAAAGACTGAGGCAGAGACAGAGACACAGAGACAGAGAGAGACAAAGACAGGGAGCCAGGAAACAAGCAGGGAATTAAAAGCTCTGAACTTCGTGCTTCAGAGAAAAGGGGTCAACACAGGCTCATTACCAAAATCCTGCTTTCAACACAAAATAGGATTAAAGTGGATTCAGAGAACCCGTGGCCAGTGACGTGACGGGACCGCCTAAGACCTTAGCACGCCAAGACTGGCACAATCCTGGAACATAAACACAAATAGCTCAATAGGTGCTTGTTACCACAAGAGAAATTGAAAAAAAAAATTAAATTTAAAAAATTATAATTAAAAAATTTTTTAAAAATTAAACAACAATTTTAAAAAAATTTTTTAAATTGTGCCAGGGCCAGTGCTAAGAACAAAGGTGGAAGCAGGACCGTCCTCAGGGAGCCGCTTCCGAACACTCCTGGCAGAGTTCAACATTCACTGTCAGTGATCAGATTAAAAATTACTTCACCATCATAACCGGACTTTCACCCTCCCCAGCCCTCCTCCTTTGCAAATACAATCTGGTTCCTGGACTCGCCTCACTGCCTACAAAGAACAAGAACAACGGTCTCCACGTCCCCCGTGGGGTGCAACGTGGCTCTGCCTCACAGCTCAGCTCTCAAACCGCACATGAAAGCACCTGCACTCATGTGGGCCCCGACTGGTTCAATCCCTCTCCCCTCTCCACAGTAACTGGTTCAAATGATCCAGGCTTGAGCCGATCAGAATTTGGCAAAGTTTGGGCAAAGGGACTGGGGAGGGGTGCAGGAAAAGGGACTTTCCACTCTTCTGTTTTTCTAGAGACACGGTCCCTGGCTTTCCTTTGGTTTCCCGAGGGATCTGTGACCTGACCCCAAAAGATCAGAATCACTACTTTTTAAAAATCTGTTTGTGAGGACGTAGGGGATGCTGTTGTTTCTCTCTCCTCTGTATGTTTGAAATTTTCCGCAATGAAAAAATGGTTTCTAAGAAGAAGATGATGATCCATCTGCTCTCACAAGGGGTACTAGAGGAGACCACCCAAGAGTAGGATGGGAACCAGGAATCCCGCGTGGAGCTGATGGCTGGATGCTACCCACAGCATCGAGCCAACACCAACAGTCACTGTGCGGAGGCTTCCCCAAGAAAGCCACGTTCACCTCTAACTCCCCAGGGGCATGCAAACTCCCGGGGAGAGCTGTGGGAACCCCACTTTAGGGCGACAGTGGGCCTCACAGCTGCCCCTTCCTTTCCAGCCCCCACCCCCGACTGTGCTGCCACCTGGTAATGTGGTGGGGGCGGGAGCAGACCTGACTTCAGCTCCAGCGTGGGTCCCGCCTAGTCCAATCCCTCTCCCCTGACCACAGTAATTAGTTCTAATGACCCAGGCTTCAGCCCATCAGAATTTGGCAAAGTTTGGGCAAAGGGACTGGGGAGGGGTGTGTGAAAAGGGATTTTCCACTCCGCTGAAAGAGCCTCCAGAAGGCTTAAAACAGGAAACGTCTGGCGTGTAGGCCTGAAGCCACTGCAGCCCCGTGACCTTGCTCAGGGAGGCCGGAGGCTTAGGATGAAGCCAATACTGAGGAAAGCAGAATCGCAACGTTCAAAGAAACTGAGGCCTGGGTGACACCACGGAACCTCCGGTCCAGCCGCCCCTAATCCTGCTCTGCGTCTCAGCCCTGAAGTCACCTGAACTAGAAATGCCCGCCATTGTTTACCAGTGGAAGTGGCTTCCTGTTACTCGCAAAGGTGTCCAACTGACATGAAGTCCTAACTGATACAGAAAGGATGTTTGCTTTAAACACTAAGTTGATCCCTTTCCCTACAACCACACCAAACAGAACGAAGGTAAAAATGGAACTCGTGTGTACTGAGCTCATAAAGGCTTGATATGAACGCACTGCGCTGTGTTCATAGAAACGGATCCAGCTGCCAGAGGAACGGCTCGGCTGGAAACGCTTACACCTGCTTCCAATGGAGATACTTCTAAGACAGTGTATAAAAAAATTAAAAGTACCTCAACAACTATTCCTACACAAAACGAATCTTTTCCACTAAAAAGACTGAAAAGTGGCACATGAAAGTGAGTAAGATTCTCCAATAAAAAACTACACATAACTAAGCTCAAATGGCTGTCATCAGGGGGAATTCATGATCTTCCTGTTCCCAAACAGGTTTGTTCTTGTTGTTAAGAGAAGGGGACTTGCTATGTTTCCCAGGCTGGCTGAAACTCCCGGGCTCAAGCAATCCTCCCGCCTCAGCCTCCCAAAGTGCTGAGACTATGGCTGTGAGCCACAGTGCCCAGCCATCCTAAACAGTTTTGTTTTTATCCTACACTACACCCAGAATTTGGATAAGATGATGAAACTAAAATTTTCCCTCAACAAAACATTTAAGTTGGGTTGATAAAAACCCTGTGCTAACAGTCACTTTGGCTAAAACTTTTGGTATAGACAGGTCCTGAGCCTAATCCTCGATTGGTTGGTCTTTTTGGTTTTGATTTTTTTCCCTCTTTGGGAATCTCAATCCTGAGTCTTTTCGAACACCCGACAATGGCCTGGATTCCAAATGCTCCATATTCTCCTAAACGCTGCCAACTCCACTTCCCATTACATCCCCTTCTCTCTTGGATTCAGGCAGCAACCTCACCAGGCAGCTGTGGGGACAGTGGCCTGTGATCTCTAGAAATAATCATTGGCATCTGTTGAGTACCTACTAGGACACACCAGGCACCGGGGAAACATCCTCAGTTCTCCCAGCAACCTGCAGCATAGATTCTTCCAGTGTTACAGATATGTAAACTGAGGCCCGAGGTCTCAGCTGGCAAGTAAGAGAGCCAGCCTCCAACCCTGGTCCCTCTGACTCCTCTACCCAGCTCTCTGCTAGGCACAGTAAATACCTGTTCAGGTAAATGCTCGTGCAAGTAAACACCTGCTCAGGTGAACAGCCTTGCAAGTATATACCCATTCAGGCAAACTTCTCAGATAAATCCATAAATACACACTCTGCAGGTAAACACCCACTCAGGCAAACACCCACTCAGGCAAACACCCACTCAGGCAAACACCCACTCAGGTAAACACCTACTCAGGCAAACACCCACTCAGGTAAACACCCACGCAGGCAAACACCCACGCAGGCAAACACCCACTCAGGTAAACACCCACACAGGTAAACACCCACTCAGGTAAACAACCACGCGGGTAAACACTCACGGGGGTAAACACCCACTCAGGTAAACACCCACGCAGGCAAACACCCACTCAGGTAAACACCCACGCAGGCAAACACCCACTCAGGTAAACACCCACTCAGGTAAACACCCACGTGGGCAAACACCCACTCAGGTAAACACCCACTCAGGCAAACACCCCCTCGGGTAAACACCCACGTGGGCAACACCCACGGGGGTAAACACCCATGCAGGCAAACACCCACTCAGGCAAACACCCCCTTGGGTAAACACCCACTCAGGCAAACACCCACTCAGGTAAACACCCACGCAGGCAAACACCCACTCAGGTAAACACCCACTCGGGCAAACACCCACTCGGGTAAACACCCACGCGGGCAAACACCTACTCAGGTAAACACCCACTCAGGTAAACACCCACGCAGGCAAACACCCACGCAGGCAAACACCCCCTCGGGTAAACACCCACGGGGGTAAACAACCACGCAGGTAAACACCCACGCGGGCAAACACCCACTCGGGCAAACACCCCCTCGGGTAAACACCCACGCGGGCAAACACCCCCGGGGGTAAACACCCACGCAGGTAAACACCCACACGGGCAAACACCCACTCAGGCAAACACCCACTGGGGTAAACACCCACGCGGGCAAACACCCACTCCGGTAAACACCCACGCGGGCAAACATCCACTCCGGTAAACACCCACTCGGGTAAACACCCACTCGGGCAAACACCCACTTGGGCAAACACCCACGCAGGTAAACACCCGCTCGGGCAAACACCCACTCAGGTAAACACCCGCTCGGGCAAACACCCACTCACCTGCATTGAGCAGCACTTTGACACAGTCCAGATGCTCCCGGGCACAGGCAACGTGCAGAGGGGTCCCAAAATGGCAATCGTGCGCTTCCAGATTGGCCCCGACGTCAATAAGAAGCCTCACACATTCGGAACTCCCTTAAGATAAATGGAAAAGGGGGGGAATGTCCTTGAATACGGACACTGGAGACAACAAGCACACAGACGCGGCAGGGGCAGCAGCCTCCATCCTTGGTGCAGGGCAGGGAAGCCAGGCAGGCCTGCGTCCCAACCTAGGGAGGAGTTCATGACCCGCATGGCCCTCAGGAAGCCAGGACACGGCTCTGCGCCCCGCTGAGGACGGAGGGCTCAAGGCAGTGGGAGAAACGGGCCTGGCCGGCTTCTTGCTGTGAGAACAGAAGACATGGGGCACCACCTAGAATGGGTCAGGGAAAACTCCCCCGCTGCCCCCCTGCCCTGTGTCTACCTGCGGCTGTCAGCACTGAGCCCAGCCTCCCAGGAAACCCCCCAGACTTTCTTATGCAGGTCATCCTCCTGTGCACCACGGCAGCCGCCTCTCCTGCCTCTTTTTTTTTTTTAGACAAAGTCTCATTCTGTTGCCCAGGATGGAATGCAGTGGTGCGATCTCAGCTCACTACAACCGCCATCTCCCGGGTTAAAGCGATTCTCCCACCTCAGCCTCCCAAATAGCTGGAATTACAGGCATGCACCACCGTGCCCGACTAATTTTTTTGTATTTTTAGTAGAGACAGGGTTTCACCATGTGCCAGGCTGGTCTCAAACTCCTGACCTCAGGTGATCCGCCCACCTCAGCCTCCCAAAGTGCTGGGATTACCAAGGGCATGAGCCACAGCGCCCGGCCTCTCCTGCCTCTTAAGTGGCTCCTCTTCCTGGGTCTGTAATGCGGATTTGGAGCGGGGTTCCAGGCCCCCCATCCTCCCGCCCCTGCACATTCCGTCTAGGCTCCAACCTTTCCGTTCACTCAATTACCTCTTCACTGTTGGCAGCTCCCTAATTTTCCCCACCAGCCTCACACCCAGCCCCAGCCCCAGAGCCATGTGCTGGCCACCGGCCGGTGTCTCCCACTCTAGAGCCCTCTCCCTTTCCTGGGGTCCTTGCTCCTGACTCAAACCTGACTCATTTCTGACCTCTTGAGCCTCCCCTTCATACGAAATCCTATGGATTCCTTCCCCAACCCTACTAAATGAAACCATCCCACTCCACCAGCCTACTCTGAGCACTGGGCACCTTGATCTCAGCGATGGTCCCCAACTCATCCCTCTGCTTCCAGGAGACCCCAGCCACCACTGCACCTCCGTCTATCTGCACATGGAGGACCACTAAATGAACCTTCCCCAAATTCTGTTTTCCTGACCCTCGACATCTGCTCAGAAACCTTCAAGAGCTCCCTGGAGCTGTCCCATGGCCTGCAGACATGGAAAGACCTACGAGCAGGAATCAGGGGTGAGCCACATGCAGCCATGGCCCTGCCAGCACCGTGGAAGGGCACATACCCCATACCCTGCACCCCAGATGTGCATCCAAAGACAAAGGCCATGCTGGCCGGTCAAGATATAAGCCACAGTTTGCAACCTCTGCTCGAAAGAGTAGAATCTAAACTCCTTAGTCTGTCATTTAAACATCTTCCCACCAGCTGGTCTCACCCTAAATTCCAGTCCTCTCTGCTCCACTGGGAGCTTCTGATGCAGTAAGATAGGACAAGGAATGTTCCCCATGCTCGGGGTGCCCTTTTATCTTCCCAGCATCTGCAGTCTGCCTATTCTTGGGGGGCAGATGAGGTCCCACCTGCTCCCTGAGCCTGCAGGACCAGCACTGTTTTGAGAGCACCACGCACAGCCTCCTGGCCCAGGCTGTTGGGACACGTTTCTCTGTCGTCTCCCATCTCAATCAGGGGCCTGCAGAGCAAACTGTAGCAAAGCCCAAGTGAGCCTCTGCAGAGTCCCCCAGGCCCTGCTAACGTGGAGAGGCCCAGGGAACCCTGGCTTGGACACAGAATCCTACCCTAGAGTCACCCACCCCAGCCCTGGACGAAGACCTCAAGAAGGGAAAGCTTAGAATCTCTGCAGCTGAGCCACCAGGAGCCAGAAACAGACTCAGAACTCTCCTTCACCAGCCAAGGGCTCCCAATTCTGTCTACTCTGCTTCCTTCCCTAAGTCCCTTTAATCCCAGAAAGGAGGAAACTTCCAGAGCCCAGCTGGGCCAGCCCAGCCGTCTGCCAACTCACCGCTCATGCAGGCCTCGTGCAGGGGGGACGCTGTGTACAGGGGAGGGTTGACCTTGGCCCCGTAGGACAGCAAGAGCTTCACACACTCGATGCTGCCCGAGGCGCAGGCATCGCAGAGCGGGGTGCTGCCGTCGATGTTGCGAGCATCCACCTCACGGGAGGAAGAAACAAGTGTCAAAGGGCAGAGAAATGCCACGCAACCCACTTTCCCATCCTGCTGCAGGTTCATCTTTGCTAAGATGCTTCTTAGAAGCACCGGTTTGCTTTGCTATTATGTGCTAGGCAACGACACTGAAAGAGATAGCACGTGGCTGCGGAGCACCGACGGCCTCCTGAGTAGAGAAGTCATCTCGTTCAGGATTCTTTTCTCTCAGGGCAGGATAAGCTCAGCAGCCCCCTCGCCACCCCCGCCCCAAACACCTAGTAAGCACAGAGCAGGACAGGGGAACCCTAGGCTGCAAGCTGGGAAAGGCAGGCTTTAAAAATGAGTTTTAAAAACCCTAACCTCAGCTGGGCACAGTGGCTCACACCTGTAACCCCAGCACTTCGGAAGGCGAGGAGGGAGGGTCACTTGAGCTCAGGAGTTCAAGACCAGCCTGGGCAACATGGCGAAACCCTGTCTCTACAAAAAATACAAAAATTAGCTGGGTTTGGTGGCATGCACCTATAGTCCCAGCTACCCAGGAGGCTGAGGTGGAAGGATCACTTGAGTCAAGGAGGATGAGGTTGCAGTGAGCTATGATCACGCCACTGCATTCCAGCCTAGGCGACAGAGAAAGACCTTATCTCAAAAAAAAAAAAAAAAAAAAAAAACCACACACACACACACACACACACACACACACACACAAAACTCTAACCTCAATGGAAGGAATGCCTGAGACAGCTTACCACGCCTCCCCTAGTGAGAAAGTCAGAGGCCAGGAAAAAGGCAACTCCCCAAATTGGCAAATTTTATTTAGCATTTGTCCAAATTCAAATTCTATTTGGGTACACACTGAAATCGGTTCCATTCCAACCTTTTGGGAAGAGTAAACAGTACACTGTCTTCCCTTCTTCCTCACCCCTTGAACTCTGAGACCAGGTCCCTGTGTCACTTATACATTGGCCAGGGGTGTGCAGGGCCAGTGTTTGCCAGCTCGGGAGAGCTGGCTGCCAATGTGCCAGGAATTCTGCTGACCAGAAACCCCCGGTGGCTTAATACTAGCCAGGGTGGGAACATTTACACCAGGGAAAGCAGCAACACAGTTTTGTTTTTGTTCCTTTTTTCAGAGAGCTGGCTGGCCAGCATCCCACTGAGTTATCCTAAAGCCGGAAACCTGCTCTTTGGGCCCAAGCAGCAGCTCTGCACCCAGGCCTGGCTGCCCCTGAGAGAGCCTGTGTCTAGGCTGCGGCCAGCCTGCTGGCTCCTGCCCACCACAGGGCTGGCACTCCCATCATCAATTTGCTCAGGCTGCCCTTTCTTCCACCACCGTGACCTCCTAACAGCCAGGTCCACGAGCACTTCTCAGCCATGGGCTTCCTGGTACCTGTGTGCAGTGGACACAGTGCAGCCCCCATCCTCCCCTCTTTCCCAAGTTCTCCTGAGTCAACCTCCTCCATTCTGGCAGCTGCAGCCAGTCTGGGGGTCTGCCCTGAAGGGCCACTCACCTGGGCCCCAGCCGCCAGCAGCAGCTGCACACACCGCGCCTGGCCCTGCAGACTGGCTGCGTGCAGGGGCGTGATGGAGTCCACGGTGACCTGGTTCACGCAGGCGCCGCTCTCGATCAGCTGTTGCAGCTGCAGGCTCTCACCCCGCTGGGCTGCCTCGTGCACAGGGGTCCGCTCCACCCAGAAACCTGGAAAGGAAGGGGACCTCAGGCTAAGACCCTGCCACTTCCATCCAGGACAAATGAGCACACGTAAGACTCCAGGGTCCCTGATGCCACCAAGGCACCATCCGTGATCATGCAATTGTCCCAGCACTTCTACAAAGATCCCTGAGCCACCCCCACTGCCTGACAGCTGGAGTCCAAGCTCCTGGGCAAGGCCTACAAGGGGCTCCGTCCTGTGGACCCCGCTCACCTCCACAGTCCACCTCCCACCCCTGCCCCTGCATATTCTGCAGGCACAGGTGCTCACCACTCCCCTGCAGTTGCACATCCTTCTCTGCTGACATGCCCACCTTTGCCCCCCTGCCAATTGTCCACTCTGCAATTTCCTGGTGAAACGTTTACATCCTCCAGGTGGGCCCAGGTAAAACAACTTCTCTGGGAAACACTTCCCACAATGCTCACGCACACACGCTCAGACCCCTGCATTTACAGTGTCTCCTGCACTCGAGTGCCTTGAGAATCCCTGTTTTAATTATTCCACTTTAGTGGCTTCCTCAGGCTTGTCTATATACAAGGTCATGTCATCTGCAAACAAAGATCATTTAACTTCTTCCTTTCTAATGTGGATGCCATTTATTTATTTATTTATTTATTTATTTATTTATTTATTTATGAGACGGAGTCTCGCTCTGTCACCCAGGCTGGAGTGCAATGGTGTGATCTCAGCTCACTGCAACCTCCGCCTCCCGGGTTCAAGCGATTCTCCTGCCTCAGCCTCCCAAGTAGCTGGGATTACGGGCACACACCATCACACCCAGCTAATTTTTCTATTTTCAGTAGAGATGGGGTTTCACCATACTGGCCAGGATGGTCTCAAACTCCTGACCTCAGGTGATCCACCCACCTCAGCCTCTCAAAGTGCTGGGATTACAGGTGTGAGCCACCACGCCCAGCTCTTTTATTTCTTTTCCTTGTTGAATTGCTCTGGCTAGGACTTGCAGTGCAATGTGGAACAAAAGGGGTGAGAGCCAACATCCTTGTCTTGTTTCTAGTCTCGGGGGAGAGCATTTAGTCATTCACCTTTAAGGACGATGTTAACTGGGTTTTCTTCTTTTTTTCTTTTTTTTTTTTTTTGTCTCAGTCAATCATAGGGATCCTATTTCCCATACAGCATCCAACACAACTCTAGCTAAGCAGAGGTGAGGGAGAGTCTGCGAAGAGGCCTCCAAGCTTCCACACTCTGCTCACTCCCAAGAAGGAGCTCCAGGGGAAGGCTGTCTCCCTTCCTTCCCTGGATACTGCCTGGATGTGAACTTGGACCTGCTGAGCCATCTGGCTACCTGCCTGAAGACAGGACCTACAGGAATGGCAAAGCCGGGAAAGGACTGGAACCTGGAGGACGAGTCAAGGACCATCAGGTGCCTGGAGCCAAGACAATGGCCGGGCTTAGTCATGTTTCTTTATTGTCTAAACCAGGTGCAGACAAAAGCTCGCTAACTGGTACAGACCGTAAACTCCCCAGATGCAGAAACCACGCACGTGTTTTCTCAGCACCCATCTCAGACACGGAGGAGTCTTCCAGACACTTTAAAATGTCACAAATGACAACAGTGCTGGATGAAAGCTGATGACATATCCTTATTGTCAACTCTCCATCTTCGAGCAGACAAGATCACATCACACACCTCTTCTCAATCAGCAGTTTCCTCTTACTATTCTGACATGTCCCTGAAAAACCTTCCTATCACCTGGATCTTCCCCAGATCTTACTTTTACACAGTGCATCTGGGCTAGGTGCGGTGGCTCATGCCTGTAATCTCACCACTTTGAGAGGCTGAGGCGGGCGGATCACTTGAGGTCAGGAGTTCGAAACCAGCCTGGCCAACATGGTGAAACCCCCGTCTCTACTAAAAATATTTTTTTAAATTACCTGGGCGTGGTGGTGCATGCCTGTAATCCCCGCCACTTGGGAGGCTGAGGCAGGAGAATCACTTGAACCCGGGAGGCGGAGGTTGCAGCGAGCCCAGATCACGCCACTGCACCATAGCCTGGGCAACAAGAGTGAAACTCTGTCTTTAAAAAAAAAAAAAAAGTGTCTGCATCGAATTTCCTCTGCAGGTGGGTAGCCTCATCAGTTAGTGCTGACGACTCTGCTTTTAGAGATCCCCACATTGCCACCTTCCCCCACCTCTGCCTTGGGCACTGAGTACAGGGTTAAGAGTTCCCTGGAGCCACAACTGCTCAGAACTGCTTGGTGGAAACTCAGCTCAGCCTTTTATCAGCTTACCCAAAACACAACTTCCCTGAGTGTCAGTTTCTTTACCTGTAAGTTGTGATAACAATAGTTTCTCTTCATAGGTGGACTATGAACATTCAGTGAATTGAAATAGGTAGATGCACTTAAAGGGTGGGGCCTGGCACCGAATCAGTGCTCAATAAACACTGTCTGTTTGTAGTATTTTTGCCTCCAATTGTAGCTATCTGTCTTGTCCACAGCCAAAGAGCCCGGGTGACCCTATGTCAGTGGAAGTGGGGACTAGGGAGAACTGAACCACAAAGGAAGATTCGATCCCCACAAAATGTAAAAGTCAAGCTTGTGGAACTTTCTACTCACCGTCTCCAGGTGGCCCTCAGCCCCACCAGTAGTAATGAACAGTAACCCACTGCCCTCCTGAGGTTAGTGAGAAGTGGCTTAGTGTCACTTTAAAATCAATCCGCAGGGAGCAAAATCCTAAGGGTAGAAGGAGAGGCTGCCACTTGAAAAAGAAGAGGAAGGCAGGGTAAGGCCTAGGTCTTGCAGCAAAAAAAGAAAGTGCATCTCAGGAGGCCACCTGAGCCGGGAAGGCGCGTTCCCGACGTGCCTCCATTCACAAGACGTCCAGGTGGATTTAGCGTCTTCCGCTGCCACACGCAAAGATGACTAAGATGCAGCAATAGGCAGCTCACAGTCAGGGACCAGGGAATAAATGCGCAGATAATTCACAACATGACAACTGCGATCATGTCTGGTGACAGGGACTCAGAATTAAGAGCCCCGGTGCCCAGGGATGGCCAGGGAAGGTCACAGAGGCCGCAGAGCTGCAGCCGGGTCTATCTCAGGCACCGCTTATTCACCTCTGTACCCCAGAACCTGGCACTGTCCAAGAAGATGCTGGTATCCACGTGGTTGCTCAGTGAGTGAGTGGATGAGTAAATGAATGGAAGGAGTTACTAAAACCAATTATAAAGTCTGACTGGTCAAGGTGGTTCAAGCCTGTAATCCCAGCACTTTGGGAGGCCAAGGCGGGTGGATCACGAGGTCAGGAGTTTGAGACCAGCCTGGCCAACATGGTGAAACCCCATCTCTACTAAAAATACAAAGAATTAGCCGGCCGTGGTGGCACGTGCCTGTAATCCCAGCTACTCAGGAGGCGGAGGCAGCAGAATCGCTTGAACCCAGGAGGCGGAGATTGCAGTGAGCTGAGATCGCACCATTGCATTCCAGCCTGGGCAACCGAGCAAGACTCCGTCTCAAGAAAAAAAAAAAAAGTCTGTAGCAGTGAAACAGCAAAAGAACTAACATTTTTGTTTGAGGGGCCTTTATCCATTCTTACACAGAGGCTAGGATAATTTTAGAGCATTAAGATAATATGCAAAAAGAGCAAACGTGTAGCTTTGAAATTAACTCTGGGATTAAAAGGAAAGCATGTAAACAACTAGCTATGTTTTGTTAAAGATTTATAGGAGCACTGCGACCTGATCAAGGACAAAGATGTTCCCAACCTCCTAGGACCTTCACTGGTGCCCAGATGTCACTGGTCCTTGGTTACCTCTTGATCCCAACAGCCTCTTTTTCCCACTGCCCTTAACATAATTAAGAACCCGAAACCTGTACTGACTTAGACGGCACTTTAGACACTTATCTACCATCTTCCTGGTTTGCTGGCTCTCCAGATAAACCTGCCACCAACTCTTGTCTCTCGTATTTGGCTTTTGAGCAGTAAGCAGCCAAATCTGGGTTCAGTTACAACTAGACATAAAATTTTTAAAAGAAAATCTAATTTTATTTCTCTGTATCACCAGTCTACAAAGGAAATGCAACTTATTTCTAGTGAATCACATCAGCTGCTGTAGTCTTACTGCAGCAATTCAGGGCAAAAATTAGCAGCAGACATGATAAGAAAAAAAGAAAAAAGAAACTTCCGTGCATCAAAGGGCACAATCAGAGTGAAATGGCAACCCACAGAATGGGAGAAAATATTTGCAAGTCATATATCTGAAAAGGGGTTAGTCCAGAATATATAAAGAACTCCTGCAACTCAAAAACAAAAAAAACAAATAACCAGGTTTAAAAATGGGCAAACGAGTTGAACAGACATTTCTCTAAACAGGATGCACACAGCCACAAACATAAAAAAAAAAGGTATTCAAGGTCACTAATCATTAAAGAAATGCAAATCAAAACCACAATAAGATACTACCTCACACCTGTTAGGATTATCAAAAAAAACCAAATACGTGTTGGCGAGAATGTGGAGAAAGTGGTACTCTTGTGCACTGATGATGGGAATATAAAATGGTCTAGCCACTGTGGAAGACTGTATGGCAGTTCCTAAAAAATGAAACATAGGATATCATATGATCCAGCAACTCCACTGCTGGGCATATCTCCAGAAGAATTGAAAGCAGGGTCTTGAGGAGAGATTCATTTGTACACCCACATTCATAGCAGCATTATTCTCAACAATCCAAGTGTCCAGTGGAATATTATTCAGCGTTGGGAATGAAGGAAATCCTGTCCCATGCTACAACATGGATGAACCTTGAGGACATTATGCTGAGTCAAACAAGCCATTTCTAGGCCAGGCACGCTGGCTCACACCTGTAATCCCAGCACTTTGGGAGGCCGAGGCGGGCAGATCACTTGAGGTTAGGAGTTCGAGACCAGCATGGCCAACATGGGGAAACCCTGTCTCTACTAAGAATACAAAAATTAGCCAGGCATGGTGGCTGTAATCCATGGTGCTTCAGTAGTGCCAGCTACTCAGAGGCTGAGGCACGAGAATCGCATGAACCCAGGAGACAGAGGTTGCAGTGAACTGAGATCACACCACTGCACTCCAGCCTGGGTGACAGAGAGAGACTCTGTCTCAAAAATAAATAAATAAATACGCTATTTCTGGCCAGGTGCAGTGGCTCAAAACTCTAATCCCAGCACTTTGGGAGGCCGAGGCAGGCAATATGGTGAAACCCCATCTCTACTAAAATTACAAAAATTAGCTGGGCATGGTGGCCCATGCCTATAATCCCAGCTACTATGGAGGCTAAGGCAGGAGAATCACTTGAACCCAGGAGGTGGAGGTTGCAGTGAGCCAAAATCGTGCCATTGCACTACGGCCTGGGTGACTTTGTCTGAAAAAAAAAAAAAAAACAAAACCAAATAAGCCATTTCTGAAAAGCCAAATACTGTATGATTCCACTTATGTGAGGTCCCTCGAGTAGTCAAATTCATGGAGATGGAAAGTAGAAAGGTAGTTGCCAGGGGCTTGGGGGAGGAGAAATGGGGAGTTAGTGTTTCATGGGGACAGAATTTCAGTTTTACAGGATGAAAAAGTTCTAGAGATCTGTTACACAAAAATGTAAATGTACTCAACCCTACTGAAGTGGACACTTGAAATGGCTAAGGTGGTAACTTTTGTGTTCTGTGCTCTCTACTACAATTAAAAATAGAAAAAAAAAATTTTTAAGTAACCAGAAGCTGGAGGACCTAGAGCATGGGGGGACTGTCACCCGCAGGCTGTCCTCATAGGAGATTTACAGTGGGGAAGGGAGGGATAGAAGGCTAGAGGACAGCAGGTGCCTGGGGTGCACCTCGTCACCTTTCCTGACACCCCCAAACCACCGATGGCCCTTCCAGGGGGCGAAGAGACCCACTCTCTTCATAAACATCAGCCCCCAGCACCCACCACCACAGAGCAATGTGACTCAGCCCTGCAATGGCAGGGTCAGTGTCCCAGGTGAAAAGAATCGGGAAGGACAGCTTATGGTCACGGACCTTAAATGGATGAGGAGTGAGCACAGGAAATGCTGTCTGTTAGTGAATGGACTGGCCAGGATGGATTGCAGGCTGCTTCCAGCCCCTGTGCCAGGCTCCCTGTGGTGGCAAGACGCCCCCCCTCCCCAATCCCTGCACCCTCTCCCTTGGCGGAGCACCGCCTTGGAAACCCGAGACTCCATGCCGTGCTGGCGAGTTCCCTCCGGGACTCACGTTCTGCCCCTAAATCCCACCCACTGCTGCCACATAATAGGTTGCCCCCTCCCTAATGCAGATGATTGACAAGCCAGTCTGACAGGGCCTGCTCACAAGGGCTCCCTCCTCCAGGGTGGAACCCAGGCAAGGAACAAGGTCCACGACCATGCAGTCACAGGCCCTGTCCCCAGGCTCCCCGTCATGCACACAGCCGTGTCCAGTGACACCAAACTCTACCGACTCACACAGAGTCCAGTGGCTGCAAGTCCCATGCTTTGCGTATGCTGTTCCTTCCCCTGCCTGGAAAGCTCTTCTCAGCCCCATTCCCCACCTTGCTTCCGGCTGAAATTCCTCGACTGAGGGGACCCCTGCTCCTTCAGGAAGCCTCCCGAGCATGCAGCCCACCCCCCCACGCCATCTCCACACTATTGCCCCACCACCAGCTGATCAGCATTCTCCCTTCCCTGGGCCTTCCCTAAGGCCATCCCCTGTCACCTTGGGAATAGTACCACAGCTAGCCAGCCTCCCCACACAGGCTGCTCGTGCAGGTATCTGAATGAATAAGCACTCCCCAGACGCATCTTCCCCTGCCAGACTGAACTTGGACCCCTGCCGCTAGGTTCTGTCCCCTGCTCCACTTTCCAGCCCAGGACAGTGGCCTGAGACCTAACATGATGCTTGCACACTCTGGCCAAGCGGGGGCTCGTGCATCCATTAAATGAAGAACTTGTGTTGCAACAAGAGCCAAGGCTGCAGCCCTGGTGACTCATGACCCAGTCCTGATGGCTGGATTCTACCCACTTCCTCCTCTGCTTCAGGTCAGGGTCACGGTGTTACACACTATGGCTCCTCCTGTTTACCTGCCGCCTGCAGGCCTGAGCTCATGAATAGCCAAGCAAAAGCCTTTGCCCTGAAAACTAGAGTTTCACAGATGTCACCTATGTATCTACTGCAGACTACGGCAGACGTCACCTTGAGAAGGAATGACACGTGCTTCAGAACGTTCTCTCCACTCTTCCACCCACGATACGACCTTACTGGCTAGGACCGTGTGCCAGGTGTGGACCTTTCTGGACCCCAGCTCCTCTTCCCCTCTCTTGCCCCTTTGCTGGGGCCCCGACACCCTCCCATCTAAGGCTGTGCCCTGCCCCAGGACTGACCTGTCCTTTGAGATTAGGAAGCCCTGGCTGAACAGGTCAAGTGGCTCAGGGTCAGCCTACCCTCAGGGAGCAGACTCTACAGGGGCAAGCTGCAGGAACCACCCTGCTCGTGAGTTCAAAGCTCGTCTCACAGCTTACCCTCTCCAAACCTCGGCCTCCTCTCTCCTCAAATGGGTGCTGTGAAGACTGAAGAAAATCGTGCCTGGCCACCTGTAAATGCTGTGAGTAACAGGCACTGCCATGGCTCCAGGATCATTGCTGTCATTATTACCCTACCAGTCCTGTGGGGAGGGCAGGTGCGGGTTCTACCATCTCATCTTTGTTCCATAGCAAGCCCCCCAATCTTGCATTCCAGCTCCAGTAACTCAATCCTTACCTAAGTCGGGTGACTGATTGAGTCTCTGCCCAATTTTTCTGCTCAGTTCCCGGGCCCTCTGAGACCAGAGCCCCTCCATCGCTCCCTGCCTTGCAAGCCACCCAGCAGTGTGCCGGGCCATCTCGCCAGCTGGCTGCTGCACAGCCAGGTTCTGCTGGCCGGAGACCACCAGCAGCTTGAAAGCAGCCAGGATGTGAGTATTTAGACCAGGGAAAGCAGCAAAGCAGACTTTTATTTTTGTTTCTTTTTCTTTATTTTCCCCCTAGGCAGCTGGTTTGCCAGTATCTCCTCAGTCATCCCAGAGCCAGAGCCCCACTCGTTGGGCCCAAGTGGCAGCTCTGTGCCCAGGCCCGGCCACCCCCTAGAGAGCCTGTGTCTAGGAGGCAGCTGGCCTGCTGGCCCCTGCACACTGCAGAGCTGGGCACCTCCAGAGCCCATCCTCCACACTGCCCTGCCTGCACCCACACTGGCGGGCCTCACTTGACCCACACAGGGACTGCAACCATAAAAGCAGCAGAGCCACTTGCCCCCAACCCCGCCCCGCCGAGCCTGGGGCCTCTCCAGGGTCAGGGCCCACTCCAACAAAGAGCATTCTCAAATGCCACCAGGGACACCTTCCAGACAAAGCTGATCCAGTAGCATGCTGGCTTTGAATCCAGGTCAAATACCCAAGATGCACCTTTTTTCCTATTTTGTTTTCTTATTGTTTATTTATTTATTTTTGAAACAGGGTCTCGCTGTCACCCAAGCTGAAGTGCAGTGGTGTGATCAGGGCTCACTGCAGCCTCAACCTCCTAGGTTCAAGTGATCCTCCCACCTCAGCCTCCCAAGTAGCTGGGACTACAGGCCCATGCACCACCACCACACTGGATAATTTTTGTATTTTCTGTAGAGACAGGGTTTCACCATGTTGCCCAGGCTGGTCTCAAACTCCTGGGTTCAAGTGATCCTCCCGCCTTGGCCTCCCTAAGTGCTGGGATTACAGGCATGAGCCCCAGGCCCAGCCCAGAATGCACTCTTAAATGTTGCTGGAGTCAGAAATTTTGTTCCGAGTAAATCACCAAGGGGAGTCTGGGGTCCTGGCTGCAGAAATGTCATTTCTGCGTCAAAAACAACCAGCAGCCTCTGTAAGAAGCCCTCCCTGCAAAACCCCAGTAAGCATTCTTGAAATGGTGAGGGTGGGCCCTCCACCCTGACCCACCCATAAAGCCGGGCTGGGGCGGGCGAGCACACACTTGGGGAACCCACCCTGGAAGAACCAAGGCAGGCACCGGAAGCCCCCAGGGAGGGTTTTCTGATGCTGCTCTCAATGGGCTCATCCTCAGCTCTCAGGGAAAAGTCAAGAGTCCTGAGTGACATAGCCCCCCAGGGTCCCAGAAAGCTAAGGATTCATGAACACGCGCTGACTGTCAGAACTGAAAAGGCCTTAGAAATGCTGGACGATGGGCTGGGCGCAGTGGCTCACGCCTGTAATCCCAGCACTTCGGGAGGCTGAGGCAGGCGGATCACCTGAGGTCAAGAGTTCGAGATCAGCCTGGCCAACATGGCAAAACCCCATCTCTACTAAAAATACAAAAATTAGCTGGGTGTGGTGGCATGCACCTGTAATCCCAGTAATAATCCCAGCTACTCAGGAGGCTGAGACAGGAGAATCGCTTGAACCAAGCAGTGGAGACTGCAGTGAGCTGAGATCGTGCCACTGCACTCCAGCCTGGGCGACAGACTGAGACTCTGTCGAGAAGGGGGGGGGAGGGGAGGGGAGGGGAGGGGAGGGGAGAAGAGAAGAGAAGAGAAGAGAAGAGAAGAGAAGAGAAGAGAAGAGAAGAGAAGAGAAGAGAAGAGAAGAGATGAGATCCTGGATGATTAACACTCCCAGAAAAAGCCAAATGTAGCATCCATTCATCTCTGCCTGCTGTCCAAACCACACACAAGTGACGGTAAGGGAATAAAATGGGGGCTAAATCCACAAAGACAAAGAGACCACAGAGGAAAAGATAAATGAAGGATCTCATGGTGACAACTAAAGACAGTGTACGTGACAACCCCAGCACAAAGAGGGTGCCTAACGCATGGCACTTAACCACTATCACCAAATTTTAATAGCGCAGCTCAAATTTCAGTTTTAGTGTCCTTGAAACCCAAGGAAAAAAAATATGGATCTTTATTTTTCTATGTAGAAACTCCCACTTACAAGTCTGGGCTCAGTGTTTTGTTGCTACAGTGATATTTTTCAACCATGTCTTTTTAAATGTTTTCATTATGAATCCCCAAAATATAGTTTGTCGGTAAACTTGAGGTCAAACAGCAGACTGATTTTAAGATGTGTTCAATGAAGCAAAAATGCCAGTATTTGCCTTCTTAGAGGGACAAAATGGTCAAAACTCAGTAAGAGTGGAGAAAAGAAAGGGAAAGAATAAATGAAAGCAGAAGACAAGGAGAAAAGAGGTGAAAATAGGTGGGCTAAGGAGTAAAGGAACTGGGAGAAAGGACCGAAGGTGTCAGGAGAGCTTGGTGAATAACAGGCATTTCCTTCCACCTGCAGGACGCTAAAACCACACTGGATTCGCTGCATTATCCTTCAATGTCTCCTCCCCTGACTCCCTCATCACTCACCCAATTATCTGCTACCCCGACTCCTCCCTTGCCCCTGGTCCACCCCAAAGGCTATGGCCCAGGGAGCATGGGGAGGGTCCCCCAGTCCCACCCTCAAGGCACTGTGGGAGCTCAGGCCCTGACTCAGGACCCCTGAGCTCTGATCCTGCATCCTCCCTGTCTCAGTTAAGGGACCTGAGGGACGCTTTTCACCCTAAATCACCTAAGCCTCAGTTTCCTTAGGACAGCAGGCAATGTCTCCCAGGGCTGCCGAGTCGAGGAGGAGGATAGAGGTACTGTTTTGCCCATAAACATGCTTCCTAAGCCTTTGTAACTTGCTAATTTCCTCTGATACTTCCATTGGCCCTAAATAGGCTTTTCTGGTGTGTCAACAGGCCCTCTTTGAATTCCTATTTTAGGATAAAATAGCCGCCCACTCCAAGTAACTCTCTACCCTTTAGAAATGCCCTGGACTGCTACCCTAGTGGATTCTCCCTCTCCCCGCTCTGACACTGAAATCAAGAGCGATAGAGCTGTGTTTCTGATTAAACACGGAGGATCTTCTCTGCCCCTCAGCAAAGATCTCACTCAACTGAGAGTACCTGGATGGGGAGACATAAATCCATATAAACAAGTAGAAAACAAACAGGCTGGGGAGTGATTTCCAGACCATCGGGGGAGCTGGAGAGCAGGCTGGTGCAGTGGCTAACCAGGATACAGAAGGCGGGCTTGGCACCCGGGGTTGGGACCAGCAAAGAGCAGGGAATCTGAACTACCCCTGGGAGGGCACTGAACGCAAAGGGATGCGCAAATCCCCATAAACAACAGGAAGACACCCCTGCCCCACCCCCACCCCGGCTTCCCAGAGCAGCAGCAGGCAGAGCTGGAAGACCCAAGGCTGCAGGGCACACGTCTCCAAACACTGAACCAGGAGAGAGAGAACACAGGACTCATTGCTTACCTGAGGGGCCTAAGAAGACTGTCTGGGGATAAATTAGGGATTAGGCATGGAGAACACCGAACCCACAGGTAAACAAAAAGAACACCCGCCATGTCCAAGAAAAGCAAGACATTACACAAAAAGAGAAACATAGTCCCCACATAGCAAGTGGCTCAGCTGCAATATTCACAGTCACAATAATGTCAACACTGAAATCTGATTTAAACAAAAACAATTCTACTGGAGGACCCTGGGGGGAACGTACGGGGGAGTGGGGGAGCAGCCAGTAGGTTAGAGGTTCATCTACCACAGAAGGACGTCCATAGGGAATGCAGAATTTCTTTATTTCTTTATTTATTTATTTTATTTATTTTTGAGACGGAGTCTCACTCTGTCGCCCAGGCTGGAGTGCAATGGCATGATCTCAGCTCACTACAACCTCTGCCTATCAGGTTCAAGTGATTCTCCTGCCTCAGCCTCCCCAGTAGCTGAGATTACAGGTGCCCGCCACTATGCTTGGCTAATTTTTGTATTTTTATTTATTTATTTTGAGACAGAGTTTTGCTCTTGTCACCCAGGCTGGAGTGCAATGGCCCAATCTCGGCTTACTGCAACCTCTGCCTTCCAGGTTCGAGTGATTCTTCTGCCTCAGTCTCCCAAGTAGCTGGAACTACAGGCACCCGCCACAATGCTCGGCTAATTTTTGTATTTTTAGTAGAGACGGGGTTTCGCCATGTTGGCCAGGCTGGTCTCGAACTCCTGACTTCAAGTGATCCACCTGCCTCGGCCTCCCAAAGTGCTGGCATTACAGGCATGAGAGACTGCGCAACAGCCCAAAACCTAAATGTTTTGGTCGCGGTACACCACACATCCAGAATTTGAGGTCAGAATGTTAAAATTGTCTAAAGCTCCTACGGTTCGCCTCTGGTGCTGCTGGAATGGCAGTATTGTTTTGGATCCAACACATTCAGCTTATTCATTACACTGGGAATAAAAAACATCAGCAGAACTTATTTGGGGAGAAATATATTAAATAAAAAATGACAATGTCAAAAATACCAGTGAACCTCAAAAGTTGCGGATTCATTAGTTTAAAATGTGCCTTTCTTCTACAGATGCATTCCATAACAAACGATGCAGAAGACATGCTCAGAAGTGATGCCATGAACAGAAATATTAAAATATGTGTTTAAATAAGCTTCTGCCGTTAGCTATTCACTGCTTACTCAATTAAGCTAATCAAATGCAGATCACAGTGTCAGGGTCAAAGTCTTGTGCTTGCCTGGACTGGAATGCCAAGTAAAAACACATGCTTATTAGATACCTTTGATCATGTCAAAGGTGGTTATTTTGCAAAGTCAATTAAAATATCTTTGCCTTGCTATGACTGCAACTTCCTCTTCAGCTAAATTTACCCTTAAGACTTTTCCCTCTTAGGTGCACTACTGTTTTTACCAGGATGAATATGCTTTAGATTTTTTTTTTCTTTTTAGGCTTTCATAGTGCTTCCGTCGCTCATTTCAGTGACCATATTATTGCTTCATAGGCAGCAAAAAAATTTGCTTCCCCAAAGAGTGTCCTTCCCTCAAATCCATTTCATTCTTGGGCTGCTCGGATTTTGGTAAAGTAGGCTGCGAACTGGGATGGCACTTTTCGGAGTGTGCCGGGGTGCCCCAAGGCCACCTTCACTGGAGCGGAGTCGGGGTCACGCGGACGCCTCTGCAGGATGCTCGGACACTGCGCCACGGCCTCACCCGCGCCAGTGGAGGGGGGTTTAGCTCTTACCGTGGGCTCGCGCCTGGCTTCCCCGAGAGGGAGCACCGTGGGCGTTTCCCAGGCTCTCCCCCGCCACTGGGCAACGGCCCCGCACGCGTCCCGCACCTTCCCCAGGGCGCGCGGCGCTCGGTGGGTTTGCGGTTGCGAAACCCCACACCTGGCGAGCCGCACGGACTGCAACCCCGCAGTGCGCTGGCCTGGGACAAGGCACCAGACATGAGAGCCCGTCTGGGATGCGCGGCACCACTGGGACCCTGCTTTCACCGCGGCCCACCCCGCCAAACGCCCCCGCCCACGGAGCCAGCGCGGGGCGCGCCACCACCTCCCCGGCGCAGGCCATCGGATACGCGGCCGGCCTCAGGAGCCGGCGCCGCTGCCTCGCTCTGACCTCCGCGGCGCCCGCACGTACCCACGTCGCCCAGGAAGCAGCCGTCCGCCGCCCGGGGCTCCATGCGGCTCACCGGCGGCCGCGCGGCGACTCTGGGCGCCGGGACCTGGGCCGGGCCGCGCGGGGCCGCTGGGCGGGGCCAGTCTGCGCTGGGCCGCGCGTCGTCCCGAGGCGACCGAGCCGGGAGTTGTAGTTCCCGCCGCCTTGGCGAGGTTCCCGGAGGCGCTGTCCCTGGGTCCGGACTCCGCTGTCGCTGCCCACCCCGCTTCGCCCGTCGCGCCGAGGAGTGTGTGTGCTTGCATCTGCAAACCGTGCGTCCCGTGCACAGAATACGTCCGGTGCAAAACGTGTCCTGTGCACTTGTCCTATGTAAACGTGTGTGTCCGTGTGCAAAACATGCATCCTGTGCATATGTCCTGTGCAAAACATGCGTCCGTGTGTAAACTTGTATCCATTGTAAGCATGCTTCCCTGTGTCCCTTTGCAAAGCATGGATATGTGTTTCCATGTGCAAAACATGTGTCCTGTACAAAACATGCATCCTGTGCATGTGTCCTGTGCAAGCGTGTCCTGTGCAAGCGTGTGCAAAACATGTGTCCATGTATAAACATGTATGTATTGCAAATGTGTCCTGTGCAAGCATGTGTCTGTGTCCACGTGCAAAGCATGCGTCTAGCTTCCAGAGTTCACTTGCATTGTACAGATGCTGATGATGCTCCAGAGTACTCGAGTTCCCCCATGCTTTAACTTTCAAGAACCGCTTCCCACCAGAGCCGGTGTTCATAATCACTGTTTCTTTGATCTTTCAAGATAATAATTTCAAATCGTTCAAATCAATTTCTTAATGCCTTTTCTTTACGGGTGGTTTTTAATCCAATGTTCCCCTAAGCTGCTTAGCAAATGGAAGCTGGGGCACAACCTGGCAGAAATGAAAAACCTGTTTCCTGTTTCCGGAATAATACCCAGTCAACAATTGAGTAAGGGATTTTTATTTTATTTATTTATTTTTGCAAAGCAGCTTCCCAAGTTTAGAAGGTTTAACCTTGTGAAAGTTCACTGTAGCCCTGTCAGGAGATTCGTCACTCACCTGACCTGTACTGAACCTCCATGCAGAAGTTAGTTTGGGCTCAAAAGTAAAAGTATCAGGAATCATCCAGTCTGGAAATAGGTGAGGCCTGGCAGAGCAGCCAGTTTGATCTCTCACACTACAAAGCTTCTGGGATGACCCAGGTCTCCATCTGCAGTCCAGACCGAAGGCACTATACCTAGGGGACATTGAACCATATCTTTTGGAAAGCAGAGCCCCTGGAAATGTGGAGCCCCAGGCCTGGGAATGGAATTTCAAGCCATTTGCACTGGGCATTTAGAGCCTTTTTGCCACTTTCTACCAAAATCAGGCTCCTGCATTTTTCTTGCCGGTTTTCTGCACTTTTTACTAAATGTAACAGATTTTTGTATCGTTATATTTACCATGGATGTTATGTTTTCCCCTGTGGCAATGTCGTGTTTGTATGATTGCATTTTCTTCAATATTTCTTCCTGGACGAAGTGTCATCTAAATTTTAGTATGATCATGTAGAACATATATATATATGTGTGTGTGTATATATTCATATGTGTATGTGTGTTATCCAAGTGTTTCCTAAACATATTAATAAGCAAGTATTTGCTTATTATTTGTTTTTCCTCCATTCTGTTGCTTGACCAAAATATTAAAAGATTTCATTACAGAAAAAGCTTTGCAAAGTTTACATATATATTCAGAAATGCATTCCCTGAAAGTATTTCCTTTTTCTTCAATATTTAGAATGTATTTCCCCAGCAAGAGCCAGAAAATATAAATTATTCTGTTCTGTTCTGTTGTTGTTGCTAAGTCTTTGAGTCCCATCTGGAATTCACTGCAATGTGTAGAATGAAAATATAGGAGCTCAGTTCATTCTTTTCTAAACTGAAATAGAGTTTTTCCAAAAATATTCATTAAATAGTAATCCACTTATCTATTTTTGTGTTAATCTCTTTTTATTGCATGTTGGTTCCAATTACCTTTTGAATCTATTGTAAGAACCTCTATGATATTGACAAAGTTTCTATTACTCATTTAGCAAATATTTGCTGATTACCTAGCCTAAGGTCTGTGATTTTTAAACTAACTACCACATGTGGTTTTTTGTTGTTGTTGTTTTTTGAGACGGAGTCTCACTCTGTCCCCGAGGCTAGAGTGCAGTGGCACCGTGTTGTCTCACTGCCATCTCCGTCTCCTGGGTTCAAGCAATTCTCTGGCCTCAGCCTCCAGAGTAGCTGGGATTACAGGTGCCCACCACCACACCCAGCTGGTTTTTAAAATATTTTTAGTAAAGATGGGGTTTCACCATGTTGGAAGTAAATGTCATTTTATAAGATCATAACTTTTGTATCAGCATTTTAAAATCTGATAAGACCGCTATTTGGAAAGTGGTGTAGTTGGGGACCCCCTACACATTGTTAAATGAGATGTGTTAACCCCTGGTTTTTCTAATAAAGACAGTCTTCATACCACATTTTTAGAGTCTTCTAGGTCATAAGATACTCTTCTTTTGCCTCCAAAATAAATAGCTTGGGTGAGGACTAAATTTTTAGGAAATCCAATTCTATTTGCTTGGATAAGCCATTTTTCCTAAATTTACTAACTCGAGAAATCAAGGTTTTGTTAAACATGTATATTTCTGGGTTTCTCCTGGAGATTCTGGGCTCCAGGGAGAGACGGGGAGGCAGCCCTATAATTTTTTTTAACTATTGCTGCAAGTTTGGCAATCACTGGTATAACCCATCCTCCAAAGGCTGTGAAGAAGCATTTCATTTACAATTTATATTGACTGATTCTATTCCTAAATATAAGAGTATTGAAAAATATATAGGGTTCTTCAAGTTTTGGTTCCTCTCTCCAATCTTCCTGCCATTGTTAACTTTTCCGAGTCCTTAGGAAGTTGCTGGGTGCAGTGGCACACACCTGTAATCCCAGCTACTTGTGAAAATCGCTTAAACCCAGGAGTTTGAGACCAGCCTGGACAACAAAGTGAGTCCCCCATCTCTAAAAAAAATTAAAAAAAAAAAAACAAAGCCCTTAGGAAGTTGTTTTTGGTAGCTTGTCTGGTTTTTATTTGTAGCTGTGGCAGACAGAGACTGTAATGGGCTGTCACCATCTTGGCTGGCACAAGAAATCCTGATCTGATTGGATTTAAGGAAAACAAAGTCATCAGTTTAGGGTTTTCTCCAGCTCAAAGACCAGGCCAGGGACCAGAAATCTTATATGGCCACCCTGCAAGAAACCCTTATCTCTCGTAGCCACACAGCCAAGATTTCTGAAAGCTAAACTCAAAGTATAAGCTTGCAGGTGACTGAAACAATGCAGATTCTATTCTCAACTCTGCAGAGTCTCTCATGGTAAAGGTAGAGAACTAATTGGAAAGGAGTGGGATGCTGAAGAATGGAATGGGAGCAAATGGGCAGATTTTCATGAAGCTGAAGACCTTAAACCCCTGAATTCTGCTGAGCCTTCTTTGGCCAGTAGAAGGAATCCACCTGTGCTTACTCAGAGGGTTAATCTTGCCTGATGAATCTATGATGGCCTCACCAGTGGAAGCTGATTTGCAAAGAGCTGGGGATCCTCCTCAGGATCTACCCCCCACCTCACCTGTCACTGCTTCTAGACCTGTAACCCAGACTCGGCCTGCCCGGCCCTGAAAGGTAAGTAAGGTTCAGAGGGGTTTGAGGCCTAATAAGGCACAACACGCACCATAAAAGTTGCAAGATTTTTGCCAAGTGACATTGGCAGAAATCTGTAGAACTTATATAGGAATGGATCAAAGGGATACTGGATTAGATTGGAAGGAAAATAATGTTGGATCAGGCCAAAATTTTTAATCAGGTTTACCACATCACAATTCTAAAGTCAGTTTGCTTGTTCAAATGGCTAGGCATGTTTCTACAGGTGAAATGCCAGAACTTTCTCAGTACACTTTGGAAAAATGTCTCCTAAAGGCTTAGAATGCTGGAGTAGATTTTTCATGTAAAACCTGTCCACCCATCGCCTAACTCTGGCTCTCAGAATCTGAAGAAAACCCCCTCACAAGACTGAGAAGTCCATTTGTCAGGACGGTGGGGGTCGGGGGTGGGGGCTTCTTAATCCTTGGGGAGTCTAGGTCGGTAATGATGGTGGGGAAGTTGCTGTCATTAAGCTTTACTCGCTGAATTCACTGGGAATGATAGAATCTGATGACTGAGTGGTGGCACTTAATTGCCAAAGCCAGTGTGGGACCAGCTGCCATCATGGGCAGCAGAACTGGCACAGTCATCCAGATGGTCTGTCCTCAGAGATCTTGGGCAATGATTAGTCAGTGACAGCATCCCTAGAGCTGAAACACATGGCAGCCTACTGAAGCCTTACTTGATTTTTACAAGCAGGAAAGCTCTAGGTCTGGCGAAGAGCAGTAAAGAAAAATCATTTTAATAGGGAGTTTCAGCCTCCCAACCAATTCCTAGAGTTGAGCCAGTTCACAGACCCAGAGCTCCTTGAATGAAAGTGGGTCCAGGTACACCTGAACTCTGAGCCACAGAGTTTGTACTGTAACTCGTCCTCCTGACCTTCCCAAAGAATCTCATGGATATTTACTAGGTTGTATATTGACTATGCACTGAAGAAAGGGAAATAACGACTACTCAGCAATTGCGGGTCAATGGCTCTGAACTGACACTAATTCCTGGAGAGCTAAAATACCACTATGTCTATCAGCTAGAATACTAGTTGATAGAAAAAATGATCAGTCGAGTTTGGGCATAGGTTCGTCTCAGATAAGCCAGTGGGTTCTTGAATCCTGTAGTTATTTCTTCAGTTCCAGAATGCATCATTTGAATATATCTACTAGAAACTGGCAGAGTCCCTACATGGATTCTCTGAGCCAAGCAGAAGGCACTGAAACTGCCTCTATCTACCAACATAGGAAAAAGGCATTTCACATTGCTGGAGGAATTGCAGAGTTTAGTGCTACCATCAAGAACATGAACCACCGTGCCTGTAATCCCAGCACTTTGGGAGGCTGAGGCAGACGGATCACGAGGTCAAGAGATCAAGACCATCCTTGCCAACATGGTAAAACCCCGTCTCTACTAAAACTACAAAAATTAGCTGGGCGTGGTGCCGCAAGCCTGTAGTCCCAGCTACTCGGGAGGCTGAGGCAGGACAATCGCTTGAACCCAGGAGGTAGAGGTTGCAGTGAACCGAGATCACGCCACTACACTCCAGCCTGGCGACAGAGTGAGACTCTGTCTCAAAAATAAAAAAACAAAAAACAAAAACAAAAAAACAAAAAAAAAAGCATGAAAGATGCAGGATGGTGACTCCCCCTGCTCCCACCCACCCCATTTCCATTCAAATTACATAATTTTGCCTGTGCAGAAGACAGGCAGTTTCTGGGAGAATGACAGTGGATTATTATAAACTTCATCAGAGGTGAAGCTGCTGTTTCAGAAACGGTTTCATTGCTGGTATTCAGCTATTGGTCTGATGAATGCGTTCTCTGGCTACGTGGTTACACGTGGTTAGTGAAGACCATGAGGAACAGTTTGCTTCCAGCTGGCTGGGGCAGCAATTCACCATCACTCTCTCACCTCAGAACTTTATCAACCTTCTGATTTTATGTCATAATCTGATCTGCAGAAATCTTGGCTGCCTCTCCATTCACCAGGCTATGACTCCCATCGAGTGTTTTGATGATACCAAGCTGATTGGATCTGATGAGCAGGAATTAGTGTCTACTGTCAGCATTTCAGTAAGACGCATGCATGCCAGAGGGTGGGACAGAAATTCAAATTTCTATTGATCTGGGGCATGTCAAGATACACCTCCCAAAGTAAAGGGAAGGGGCTGCATCTGACCCCTCCAGCCACTAAGAAAGAAACATGGCACCAAACAGGCTTCCTTGGATTTTCAAGGCAACATATACCTCATTTCAAACGTTTTTTCGTTTTCTAATATAAGCAGCCATTGGCTGTCACTGGCTCCCTATTTTCAGCTTCTCAAAGTCTTAGGTGTGTGTTTGGCTCCAGGGTGAAGAACATCAGCTTTCCTGCTAGTTAGTCATGCCAGTGAGGTTGGGCATTGATAAAGTGGACAAAGGCATAAATTTCCCTCTAATCACTGCTTTAGCTGCATCCCACAAGTTCAATGTTATGATTTCATTTTCATTCGGTATAAAACATTTTCTAACATTTCTTATGATCTCTTCTTGGATCTGTGGCTTATATAGACATGTGTGTTCTAATTTCCAAGTATTTGGAAATTTTCCAGATATCATCTTGTCATTGAGTTCTAATTTAATACAGAATCTATACATAATATACTCTATAGTATTTCAATCCTTTTAAGTTTATTAAGATTTATATTATAGTGCAGCATATGGTCTATCTTACTGAATGTTCCCTATACACACTAATAGAACATATATTTGGCAGTCAGGTGAACTGTCTATAAATTTTAGTCAGGGCAAATTGTTTGACAACGTTACTCAAGTCTTCTCTACCCTTCTGATTTTCTATATTCTTCTATAATTTCCTGAGAGACTGAGGCCAGTTTCCAACTGTGAATCTGAATTTGTGTTTTTCTTTTTCAGTTCTGTCACATTTTTCCGTATGTTTATTGAAGCTTTTTTACTAAATTCATACACTATTAATACCGTATCTTCTTGATAAATTGATCCTTTGATCATTACTAAATGTCCCTCTTTATCTTTTTTTAGTAATATTGCAGTAAATTTTTTAGCAAATTTTTAGTAATTTAGTAAATTTTTAGTAATTTAGTAAATTTTAGTAATTTAGTAAATTTTTAGTAATATTTAGTAAAATTTTTAGTAATATTTTTGCTAGAATGTCTACATTGTCTGATGTAAATATGGCCACTTCAGCTTTCTTACAATTAATGTTTGCATGTATGGATTTTTTCATTCTTTTGCTTCCATCCTGTGTTTTTTTATATTTACAGCACATCCCTTCTACCTCACCTGTACTTGGAATCTGACAGTCTCCACCCTTTTTTTGTTTTTGTTTTTGTTTTTTTACAGAAAGGGTCTCCCGATGTTGCCCAGACTGGAGTTTAGTGGCTATTCATAAGCACTATCCTCCCACACTACAGCCTTGAACTCCTGGGCTCAAGCAATCCTGTTGTATTAGGTCCGTTCTCTCACTGCTATAAAGAAATACCTGGGACTGGACCGGGCACGGTGGCTCATTCCTGTAATCCCAGCACTTTACGAGGCCGAGGCAGGTGGATCACGACGTCAGGTGATCAAGACCATCCTGGCTAACACGGTGAAACCCCGTCTCTACTAAAAATAAAAAAAATAAAAAAAAAATTAGCCAGGCGCGGTGGCGGGCGCCTGTAGTCCCAGCTACTCAGGAGGCTGAGGCAGGAGAATGGCGTGAACCCGGAAGGCGGAGCTTGCAGTGAGCCGAGATCGCGCCACTGCACTCCAGCATGGGCGACAGATCGAGACTCCGTCTCAAAAAAAAAAAAAAGAAAAGAAATACCTGAGACTGGGTAATATATAAACAAAAGAGGTTTAATTGGCTCACAGTTCTGCAGGCTGTACAGGAATCATGGGTGGGAGGCCTTAGGAAACTTATAATCACGGCAGAAGGTAAAGGGGAAGCAGGGAAGAGAAAGAAGGGGAGGTGCTACACACGTTTGAACAATCAGATCTCGTGAGAACTCACCATCATGAGAACAGCAAGAGGGAAATCTGCCCCCATGATCCAATCACCTCCTACCAGGCCCCTCCTCCTCCAACATTGGGGATTACAATTCGACATGAAATTTGGGTGGGGACACAAATCCAAACCATATCACCTCCTGTCTCAGCCTCCTGAGTAACAGACTACAGGCACGCACCACTGTGCCAAACTTGTGATGTATTTTTTAAAGAAATTCTAGATTTTGCTGATTGCATCCTTGTGGTGTCATGTAACATGTTCTTCGTTCCCCGTATTTTCTGTACACTGGAAGGTGGATCTATAGTGTAGATGCTTAATTAGATCCAGGTTTTTTGGTAAGAAGACTTCATAGATTGTAAACTTCCAATTGCATTAAATCTGGAAGCCTATGATGTCTGGCTTTCCTTCTTTTTGTGATAATAAATTTGATGAGTTGGTCTAGGGATGATCAAACCGATCCATTAAAATAACACTTTTTTAACTCTTTTAACACCTCTCAGGCCATGTGCTAAGAAATTATGGTATATACATGATCACATTTGATCCTCATATTAACCCTATGAGGTAGGTCCTGTTACTATCTCCATTTTGCAGATAACAATACTTAAGCACAGAGAGGCTAAATTACCTGCCCAAGAGCACCCAACCAGTGAGTGGCATAATTGGAATTGGAATCCAAGTGGTCTGGCTACAGAGCCTCCTTATGTTTACTGAGCCATACATAATACATGATCCATGTGTATGACTGAGTTCCAATAAAACCTCATAAAAACTCGGGAGGCTGAGGCAGGAGAATGGCATGAACCCAGGAGCCGGAGCTTGCAGTGAGCCGAGATCGCGCCACTGCACTCCAGCCTGGGCAACAGAGCAAGACTCTGTCTCAAAAAAACAAACAAACAAACAAACTCATAAAAACAGGCAGCAAACCAGATTTGACCAAGGGGCACAGTGTGACAACCCTGCTTTATGGCATTAATTCCACTCTTTATACATTCTATCAATGTTTTCAGTTCATCCTTAGCTCTTAAAAGTTTTGCTCTTTCTTGTAATATTACAGCACATGACCTTTTTAGGTTTTATTTTAAATTGACACAATAATTATCTATATTTATGGTGTATGGTATGATTGTTTGATACATGCATACAATGAGTAATAACAAAATTAGGGTAATTAACATATTTATCACCTCAAACATTTATCATTTCTTTTTTTTTTTTTTTTTTTTGACCAGGCTGGAGTGCAGTGGCACGATCTCAGCTCACTGCAACCTCTGCCTCCCGGGTTCAAGCAATTCTCCTACCTCAACCTCCTGAGTAGTTAGGACTACAGGTGCACACCATCACGCCTAGCTAATTTTTGTATTTTTAGTAGAGACGGGGTTTCACCATGTTGGCCAGGATGGTCTTCATCTCCTAACTTCGTGATCCGTCTGCCTCAGCCTCCCAAAGTGCTGGGATTACAGGCGTGAGCCACTGCACCCAGCCTGTTTTGTTTTGTTTTTTTGAGACATGGTCTTGCTCTGTCACCCAGGCTGGAGTACAGTGATGCAATCTTGGCTCACTGCAACCTCCACCTCACTGTCTCAAGAGATCCTCCCATGCCCAAGCAATCCTCCCACCTCAGCCTCCTGAGTAGCTGGGACTACAGGCAAGCACCACCATGACGGCTTAATTTTTGTATTTTTTGTAGAGATGGGGTTTCACCATGTCACCCAGGCAGGTCTCAAACTCCTGGACTCAAGCAATTCACCTGCCTTGGCCTGTCAAAGTGCTGGGATTACAGGCATCAGCCTGGCCTTAGCTTTGTTCTTTTTGATCAAGATTGTATTGGCTATTTGTGAACTTTTGTGGTTCCATATAAATTTTAGGGTTTTTAATTCCATTTCTATGAAGAATATCATCAGTATTTTGGCACAGATTGCATTGAATCCATAGATCCCTTTGGGTAAGCATGTGCCTTTTGGCTGGAATTTCTTCTTTTGTTTTCTTTTAAATATAAAGATTAATTTCAGTACTCTTATATTAGTTTGATAGTGTTAGAGTAATGAGTGTTGAAAATTAAATAGTATCTATCATCTAATTTTAACTGCAACACAGGTACCTGAGACACCAATAAGAAAAACCAGTTCCTGGGCCCCCACCCTTACCTAGTTAAAAAGAACTTCAAGGCCAGGCACAGTGGCTCACACCTGAAATCCCAGCACTTTGGGAGGCCGAGGCAGGCAAATCAGTTAAGGTCAGGAGTTGAAGACCAGCCTGGCCAACATGGTGAAACCCTGTCTCTACTAAAAATACTAAAATTATCCAGGCATGATGACGGGTGCCTGTAGTCCCAGCTACTTGGGAGGCTGAGGCAGGAGAATTGCTTGAACCTGGGAGGCAGAGGTTGCAGTGAGCCAAGATCATGCCACTGCACTCCAGCCTGGGCAATGGAGTGAGACTCTGTCTCAAAAAAAAAAAAGAAACTTCAGGTGTGGGGCCCAGCATTTGCATTTTTAGTAAGATTACAAGAGTGCTGCTATGTTCTCTGGGAAGCAAACAATGAAATAAGCCAGGGTTAGGAGTGCTCCCCAAAGGCTTATTGGGCAGTGTGTCAGTTTCAGTTCTCCAAGAAACAGACACCAAGATGGGCTAGACGTGCAATAGATTTATTAGGGAAAATTCCATGAAGAGTAAACGGGGAGGTGCAGGGGTATTGTGGGAGAACGCGCAGATGGAGATAAAAGCCTGGTATCTGTGAAGGAAGAGCAATAAGGAAGGTCTGGATATAAGGAGTCTCAGATCACAGCTCAGGTCTGAGTGTAGTTTTGCCAGGCTGATGGAGAGTGCCTGAGCAAAGGTTGCCCATTGGAGGGTCCAGGCAGGCTTGGACCAGCACTCGTATCCCCGCTGTGCTCAGCCACTGTCTGGGAACATCCTGGAGGAAGTGTGAGAGGCATGGTGGCTCCAGTGGGGTGGAAGTTGGAATCTGTGAGTCAACTCTGCTCCCAGAGCAGCTTCTCTTTAGAAAGATCACTTCCATCACTACCACAGTCTACCTCCTTCCACCAGATAAATCTATTTCTCCGTACATATTTAGGGGAGCAGTTTCCTTATGATTCCCAAGAGCCTCTCAATGGGGAACTTAGAAACAGAAGGTCAGTGGTACAAATAGGATCTCTCTCTGCAGTTAGTCTCAGGGCTTCAATGGGCATTCATCCTCTTCTTCCTCCACCATATTTTAAATTTTCCTATCCCTCTTAGCTATCACCTCAATAAGTCTTCATGGCTCACCTTGTAACATGACTCAAACCTTGACACTCAAGGGGCCTGAACTCATAATCATCATACATTTCTAAGGCTGGAATTGCTGCCTGTGTCCATCAACAGTTACAATGGGACAAGGGAGTACCAAGAGGCCCCCAAGTGCACCCCTGGATTGTACAAGTGTTCCTTCCCGTGTTCAAAGACAGCTCTACCTCCTCCTACCCATCGGCAGCAATCACTACTGTCAAGAAAGTCACAGCTGTTCGCACCTGCTGCTGCCTTGACACAAGAGTCTAAGTGCCCTGGCAGCAGCTTTAGCTTGGGATTCGAAGGGCAGGTGCTGAGTCTCCTGGGAAGAGGACACATTTTAGGGTTATTTAATTTTTTCTTTTTGTTTTTTCTGGCACATGTGAGACACCTTTTTTGGAGACAGACCAGGATCTCCACCCTGGCAGAACTTGGGAGTTTGGGAATGGATGTCTCCCCGTGGAAGTGATAGGAATTGGGGCTACTTCTGCTCCATCTCCACCTCCAGCTTCCCTCTCCTCCTTCCTGGCCTTCTCCTAGTTGCAGATATTATGTAGAACCCTCCCTAGCTGCCTATTTATTTTGGAATACTATGTCCTATCTGCCCCCTCTAAGGGCCAGGCCCCGTGGGCTGTCTCTCCACCTCTGCCAGTCATTAGAGTAATGACTTCTGACAGCTTCTATCAGACCCCGCCTGCCTCTATTACCCTAGATCCTGCCTGCCCCTGGAGACCGCCTGCCTCTAGTACCTCAGCTCTGTCACCACCTCTCTTATTGTGAGCTCACACCTGCATAATCGTCACTTCTCCTGGGTTAACTCTGGTGAAATCGTCACCATTCAGGCCACCACTTGTTACCAAGGTCTGTCCTATACCTCACATTCCTCTTGGAATGAGCCCCTTTTTGCCATCAGGACCGTGAGTCACCCAATTCCAAAACCCCAGCTGGCCTTCTGTTTTCTTGGACCACTCTTAGTATTTACTTGTATCAGTTCCTGGTCTCTGAAAAGCAGACATACAGGCGATTTATTGGGGGAAATGCCTGTAAAGAATAAACCGGGAAAGAGCAAGAGTAGGCGGGGAGAGTCTCAGATTGTGGTGCAGACCTGACACTTGTGCATGGAAACGAGGAGGAAGAATTGGGTAGGGAGAGTCTCAGACCACCATGGAGCTCTAGGAAAGTCTCAGCTGGGAGATGTGCACCTCAGCATGAAGGTTCTCCGTGAGAGAAGCCCTGCTCTGGGCAGGAATGACCCAAACTCCTCCTCCACCACGCTCAGGCCCTGGCTGAGAACAGCCTGAGGGCAGCAGATTTCATCCTGCACTTCTCTCCACTTCCATAGCGCTTCTTTTTTTAAAAAATTTCTAAACACAGCACTTTGTATTTTTCTTACGGCATTTTTTGGAGGAAGTCCTGCAGTATTGCTAAGTTTTATAAATTGGGCAATGGGATACTCTTAAAACAGAGACATTCTTGGTTTCCTACTTATTATTACAGATGATTTAACCCCTTTTACTCTTCCCCCATTTTTATACACACACATTTTCTCTCCCTCATACTCCTAATATAACGTGTGTATGTGTCTGTGTCTGTGTGTGTGTGGTTAAAGAACTTGGGGTGATATTTTTGATAGATACAGAGATTAAAAATGATGCAGTTGCTAATATCAAGTAAAACAAAATTTGTACAAATGTTTTTTATGGCTTAGCTGTAAACACACAATAAAAAATGATGACATGACTATATAGAAAGCATGGAGGAAAGCAAATGTACACTTGCGGGGTGTTGCCTGAAATAGCTCAGTCCTCATTAGCCATTTTAGGAAGATTTTATCTAAAACTGAGAAGTCAACTGGAGACAGTAGCTCATGCCTGTAATCCCAACACTTTGGGAGGCTAAGGCAGGAGGATTGCTTGAGCCCAGTAGCTCGAGACCAGCTTGGGCAACATAGTGAGACCCCCATCTCTATTTAATATAGTAATAAGAAGAATGAAATTGAGAAGTCAAGAGTGGCAGGAAAAAATAATTGAGTAAATAGCAGAAGAAACAGCTAAAAGAATTGGAAGTGCTTGTCTCCAAGGAGGAATCAGGTAGAGGACAGGACAGAGGATAGCTCCATATTATTTTGTGTCAAGCAGTCTTGTCGTTCTCTTGAACTTTTATTTCCATGTTAGTTATTAAAATTGTATACAATGGAGAATAAGAGTAGGATTGTCAGGAATTGGAGTTTTCCTCTCCGACCTTCTCATTCTGCAGATATGGAAAGCCCAGAAGAGGGAGTCTGTGTATTCAGCACATGGATTTCCATTCTCTGAGTCACACTAAGTGATGGGAATACAGTCATGGACAATGGTTACTTTGAAATCCTTTCTGTTAGATCTGACATCTGGTCATCTTCTGGGCAGTTTCTGCTGCTTGTTTTTTTCTCATTGTATGGGTTATACTTTCCCATTTCTTTGCATGCCTTATAATTCTTGATTGGCAACTAGAGTTTAGATAATAAATTGACGCAACTCTGTGTAATATTTCCCCACACACATAGTGTTAAGCTTCTGATCGTGCTTCTCATGATGACACAACTTTAAATATGCCCACCATCACTCTGGTACGACAGTGGCATTGGTAGAACTCTCTTTCTCTGAAATAGATATTAGGTCTTTATAGGTCTATATCTACTAAAGATATAACATCCTGCACTTAAAAACCTTGCTATAAAAAACACAGGCCCTGATTGTTTCACTGATTAATTATATTAAACATTTATGAAGAAATACTGCCAATTTAAATCAAAGTATTTTGAAAATTAAGAAAGAAAACTTCCCAACTCATTGGATGAGGCCAGAGTTACCTTCATACCCAAACTGAAGACCTCACAAGAAAAATAAAACAAAAACATAGACCAATATCTTGTATGAATACAAATGCCAGAATCCTTAACAAAATATCAGCAATTCATATCCAGTATAATATATGAAAAGGATAATGAATCCAGAATAAATTGGGTTTATCTCAGGAATTCACTGTTGATTTAACATTTGAAAAATCAATTGATGTAATTCACCATATTAGTAGATCAGAAAAGAAAAACTATATAATCACCTCAATAGATGCAGAAAAGTATTTGACCAAATTCAACACCCGTTTATGAGAAAAACTTTCAAAAAGTAGGAACAGAAGGGAAATTCATAAATCTAAAAAAGGGTACAAAACACCAAAGCTAACATTATGCTTAATGGTTACAAACTAAATGCTTTTGCACTAAGATGAGAGACAAGACAAGGATTTTTTTTTTTGAGTCAGGGATATTTTATTTCACTCCTTATATTGAACATTACATTAATGGAATGGCCTTGATGCAATAAGGAGAAAAGAAATACGAATTAGAAACAATGAAGTAAAACTATTTTTATTTGCAGAAAATGTCCTAAAAAAGCATAAAGAATGCACACATGTGCAAACAAATAGCTACTGGATATAATAAGTGATTTCGGCAAGCTACAAGATATAAAGTTAATATGGAAAAATCAATTTTATTTCTATATACTAGCAACAAATTATTGCAAAAATTTTTAGTACTATTAAGAATAACATCAAAAACAAAGAGATAAATATGACAAAATATGTGCAAGAGCTGTACACTGAAAACTATAAATATTGCTGAAGGAAATTTTTAAAGACCTGAATAAGTAGAATTTGACAATTAGTAAGATGTTAATTCTCTCCCAGATTGATATGTACATTCAGCACAATCCCAACCAAAATCCCAACAGGTTGTTTTTGAGGTAGAAAATAAGCTGGTTCTAAAATGTATACAGAAACTTAAAAGACTTAGAATAGATGGGCCGGGTGCAGTGACTCATGCCTGTAATCGCAGCAGTTTGGGAGGCCGAGGCGGGTGGATCACCTGAGGTCAGGAGTTTGAGACCAGCCTGGCCAAAATGGCGAAACCCCATCTCTACTAAAAATATAAAAAATTAGCCAGGCGTGGTGGCAGACACCTGTTATCCCAGTTACTAGGGAGGTTGAGGCAGGAGAATTGCTTGAACAGGGGCTGGGGGTGGGGGGCGGAGGTTGTAGTGAGCCAAGATTGCACCACTGCACTCTAGGCTGGGCAACAAGAGTGACGTTCCGTCTCAAAAAAAAAAAAAAAAGACTTAGAATAGCCAAACATACTTGAAAAAGAACAACATTGTATACTATGCAAATTCAAACCATGACACACCCTTCAGAGTGGCTACAATTCAAAAGTATTGGCAGGGATGTAGACGAACTAGAATTATCTTTGTGGAACTGTATAACTTAGTAAAACCAGCTTGCAAAAAGTTTGAAATGATCTGCTAAAGTTGAACATATGCCCTTGTTATTGCCACAATAATGCCCTATAATAAATCACCCCAAACTCGGTTAGCTTTTGATAACAGCATTAACTTTCAGAATCCTTGATCTTCAGGATGTCTAAGGCTCTGTTAATCCAAAGTGTGTTGGACTGTGGGTTGGTGTCACATCTGTTCCACATAGGTTTGTTCTGGAGACTCAGGCTGAAGAGACAACAGCTACGCGAGATATTTTCTCCACATATGAATCACCTGAGCACAGGAGCCAACTCAAACAGCACGAGCACACTGAAGAATCCTGCTGTGTCATGTCTGCTGATATTCTATCAGCCAAAAGACCTCTCTTAGACCAAGCCCAACGTCAATGAAGTAGAGAAGGAAACTTGGCCAACCGTGGGGAATAAGGGCATAAATATTTGCAGAAACAAAAATCTAAATTATCATGTCTAGCATTCCAAAATCCCAATCCTAGGTTTTCATCCAACAGAAATGAGTGCCCATGTACACCAAGAGATGTAAATGAGAATGATCACAAAAGTATTATTTATAATAGCCAAGAACTGGACACAGCCCAAATGTCCATCAATAATACAATGGGTAAAGCAAATGTGTTACATTCACGCCTACATATACAGCAATGAAAACGAAAGAACAAGTACACCCAAAAACACAGTGAGTCTCACAAGCAGGCACAAAATTATTCACTTTATATACAGTTCAAACCACAAGCAAACTAAATGATAAAGTTTCAGGGTGCATATTTAGTTGGCAAACTTACTTTTAAAAGCAAAGAAGAGAGTACCATGGAAGTCAGAATAGTGCTTAGGCTAGGGAAGAGGGATGGGGTACTGGCAATGTTCTATTTCTTGATGGGGGTGTTGGTTTCATGAATATTTGCCTTGTGATAAATCATGGAGTTGTACATTCCGGTTTTGTGCACTATTAAAATGTTGTTGTACTTCACTCTCTACTTCCACAGTCAGCCTTCTTCTGTTCTTGAATAGGTTTCATTTCACTTCTCAAGTCCTTTGCACTTGCTTTCCCTTCTGCCTGGAAAGCTCTTCCTCCACGTATTCCAAGCTTTGGTTCTATCAGTTTTGATCTTTAGGGTTTGACCTCAGATGTGCCCATTTCAGTAAGATCTTGTAGCTCCACTACTTCTGCCCTTGGCCTCCAGCCCCCAGTCCCATCCACTAGCATTTCCAGTGAGTTTTCACAGCATGTATTGTTATCTGAGATTCTATTTTCTTGTCGTGGTGATTTACCTGTGTTTGTCACTCACCTCTGGAATAAATTCCATTATAGGCAGGGTCCTTATCTAGCTTGTTCATGATTGTAAAACCAGTGTCTATTACAGCACCTGGTTACAGTAAACAGTAAACACAATGACTGAATCTCTTGGTATTACCAGCACAGTGCTTGACTCATGATACATGTTCATTAGCACTTAATCTCTCTCATTGGTACAGTCATATGTCACTTAATGTTTCAGTTAACAACAGACCACATATCCAACAGTGATCTTATATGATTATAATAGAGCTGAAGAGTTCTATTGCCTAGTGATGTCGTAGCCATCTTAATTTCGTACAGCAACACATTACTCATATGTTTGTGGTGATGCTGGTGTAAATGAATCTACTGCACTGCCAGTCATATAAAAGTACAGCACACATGGCCAGGCGCAGTGGCTCCACCGTAATCCCAGCCCCCCAGTGGGACAAAATGGAGGTGAAGACAATGATGTTGATGATCCTGACCCTGTGTAGGCCCAGGTTAATGTGTGTTTGTGTCTTAGTTTTTAACAAAAAAGTTTAAAAAGTAAATTAAAAAAATTTTTAAATAGAAAAAAACTTACAGATTAAGGATATAAAGAAAATATTTGTGTACAATGTGTTTGTTTTAAGCTAAGTGTTATTACAAAAGAGTCTTAAAAAGTTTTTTAAAAGTTTTAAAAAGTTAAAAAGTTACAGTAAGCTAAGGTTAATTATGAAAAAATTTAAAAAAATAAATTCAGTGTAGCTTAGGTGTACAGTGTTTATAAAGTCTACAAGAGTGTACAGTAATGTCCCAGACCTTCACATTCTCATTGCTCACTCACAGACTCACCCAGAGCAACTCCCAGTACTGCAAGGTCCATTCGTGAGAATGCCTTACACAGGTGTACCATTATTTTTCATACTGTATTTTTATTGTACCTTTTCTATGTCTAGATATGCTTATACAAATACTTACCATTGTGTTATAATTGTCCACAGTATTCAGTACAATAACATATAGCATGGGTTTGTAGCCAGGAGTAATGGGCTATGGCTTATGGTGTAAGTATGTAGTAGGTTATGCTTCTAGGTTTCTGTGATGTTCACTCAAGGACCAAATTGCCTAATGAGGCATCTCTCTCATAAGGTGTCCCTACAGTTAAATGATGTTTGCATGACTATTTATCATGGGCAAGGGTAAACCTGAATTTATTGATGGTCACCTTAGCTCTCTGTGCATGTGTTATAAATTTCTAGAGATGCTTTCCTAGGGGGTAACAGCCACACCTACTATATGGATTAAAACAAGGGCAAAATTTCCAAAATGTCGCATTCGGGCCAGACAAATAAACTGTTCTTGCAGCAGCACCTGGGGAATGAAACGCTGAGAAGGGAGAAGGCGCCCGAAGGCGACCACGTGGGCCACAGCCACAGCACTGTAGGTCAGCCGAGAGAGCGTCTCCCGCCTCTTCCCAAGGGCATCTTCCGCCTCCTGTCAAGGGTCGGCAACGCGAGACACCACGCGCTCGTTGGGATCGGCCGCCTAATCAGGAGCGAGCTGTGGCCTTACGCCTGCGCAGAGGGGAGACGCGAGCGCCGCGTGGACGCTGACCTCGGTCCGCGCCTGCGCCTTGGTTTCTTCCCGGCGATTGGTTCCCATCTCTGAGGGAGACGCCTCACTTCAGTTTTCACTTTCTTTTTTTGCCCCCCCCTCCCCTTTTCTTTTCCTTTGGCCGCGAGGTTTTGCTTCCGGTTGCTAGCGCCGGTCAGAGAGAAAGTCGGCATGTTCTCGCAGGCTGCCGGGCGTCCCGGGGTTGCCTCTTGCCCGTGACCCTGACGGGAGACAGAGCGCGGGCGGCCGCGGCGTCCCTGTCAGCGCCCGCGGCGAGGACCCCGGGGCTGGGGCGGACGGCGTGCCCCTGAGGGGGGTCCCCGCGGGAGCGCGGAGCCGGCGACTGGTGCTTCCCACGTGCGCCGGTGTCGCGAGGGCCCGGGAGGACGCAGAGCACGGCCGGGAGAAGCATGGGAAGGAGGCCGAGCCGGGATCTCAGGTCCTCGGGGGCGGCGGCCACGCCAAGGACGGGTAAGTCCCTCCTCGGCCTGGGCGCCCGGGAACCCTGCGAGGAGGACGGCGGGTCCCCGAGGCCGAGCGCTCGGGCAGCTGCCGGGGCTTGGCTGCGAGGGTCGACGCGTTCTCCTTGCCTTTTGCCGCGCTCCGGGTGAGGGGGTGGGAGGGGTCGGCGCCTTCTAGATGACTCAACCTTCTGTCCTGCGCTACAACCTGTGGCCGCGCTCGGTGTCGCCGGCAGGGAGATCCTAACCGTGTCATCTTGCCCCTTTCTGAGGCGTTTCGTTTGCGTCGCCTGTCAGGGGACAGCTGCGTCCTCAGGGATATGCTGATAAGTTCTTGGCTGAAGTTTCCGTCTTCGGGTTTGCACCGGCTGGGAAATCATTTCCTGCGGGTTCTGCGTGAAGCCTGCTGCTACTCGAGACTTCATGGCAATGCGCCACCTTTTCTTTTTAGGGTAAAACAGGTCTCTCCGAAGGGAGGGTCATTTCAGCAGCAAGCGCAAGCCGCGTTGGGATAACTTGGTGCGAGCAACACAGAAGTTTGTCTGAAGGCGGCGCCAAGCAGCGTTTCGTGGGAGAACTGGGTTGATGACTGAAATTTTGAGGAAGATTACTTTGGGAATTCTCAAGTTTCTCTTAGTCGCTTCTTGTCTATTTGAAATCTGTAACTTTAAACAAACCACGCTTACTCTTCCTTATTCTCCCTGTAAGGTACAATTAGAATAGAAAAGTTTATGAAAGTGTATCCAAAACTTAAATATGTGGCGTACAAGTGTATGGTATTATTGGAATGGCATTCGCGATCCTAGAGTCTACAGTGTTCCCTGAATAAAACTAGGGGTGAGCCTGGCGGTAATCCTGCCTAGGAGGTTTATAGCAAAGCAGTGTCCCCTAACGGTGCAAGAATACCCTTCTGTCGAAAAACTGCCTTATAGGAATGGGTGACTGTATGCGGTATGTCCTGTACTGTACATCAATAAATAACTAAGCCAGGCCAGAAAAAGGGTGACAAAAGGTCCACAATTATGTTAAGGAAGACCAAGACGGTATATTTGAAGTTTTGTGTATACAGAACATTTGCCCAAATGTAACTAATTTTTTTAAAGGGAGATTATAAGCATCTCCTGTGGTCCAAACATAGTTGTTAAAATGGGTTAAAATCGGTGAAGTGCCTAAGAACTTGACTGAGACATGGTGTTTGTTAAATACAGTATACTATCTATTCAGTAAAAATAGATCAATATGGCATGTATTTATCAAGTGAATTTCATTTTTCTGTTGGTAGACATTCAAGTTATTTTCAAGATATCCCTATAACTGACAATACTGCAGTGATTATCTCTTGCTGTTATAAACAGTGCTTCAGGTGGTCATGATAGTATTTCTGTAGAATTGACTCCTTATGAGAGTGCTGGATAACCATGTTGCTAAATTGCCCTGAAATGATTGTACCTTTTTATGTTCACTCGCTCAAAAGATGTGTTTTTATCTCCATGCTAGCCAGCACTGGATGATAATGGTATTTTTAAAATATCTTAGCCACCTAGTAATTGAAAGTAACATTCTGTTTTAATTTTTATCTTCCTTGGTGAATACAAAAGTTAAATCTTTTTAGGCAGGTCATATCATTTGCTGATGTTTTTATTGAGTCTGAGCTCTCTTTTCTTTCGCCCATGTAACTATTACTGTAGCATTTTAATTATCATAGTTTTATAATATATTTTGGTACTTTCTTTTGAAAAAGAGCTTTGGGTTTTTCTTTTGCATTTTTTCTTCCAGAAGAAATTAAAACTATCTTTTTAAGTCCTATAGAAAATCTTGGGATATTGTTTGTGATGGTGTTGAATATATAATCTGAGAAGAGACATTTATTTGAGTTTTTCCTTCTAAGAGAATATGTACATCTCCCTTTTCTTTAAAAATTTTTTATTGTGAAATATGTCATTAATATGTACTGACAAAGCGTATCTGTGTAATAAATATGCTTTTTGTCAGTACATGTTAATGGTATATTTCATAACAAAAATTAATAAAAGCTTTAGAAACTTTAGTTAGTTTGGAAACCTTTTGTGTGTTTCTACCCCAGGAGGAATGCGTTCCCTGCCCCCCGTTACCCTGGCCATTATTAATTTTGTGTTAATTATTCCCTTGCCTTTTTAAACAGTTTTATCACCTATATAGATATCCTTAACTAGCATTGTTTACTCTTACCTGTTTTTGAACTTTATTTAAATAAAGTCATTCTGTATTCTATGAGTTACTTTTGTTAAACATTGTTTCTGAGATTCACTCATGTTAAAGCACGTGCCTATAGTTTAGCAATTTAGAAACTTTATTCCCAGGACCCCTCTACACTTTTTAAGAACCATTGAGGGGGCCAGGTACGGTGGCCCACGCCTGTAATCCCAGCACTTTGGGAGGCCAAGGCAGGTGGATCACTTGAGGTCAGGAGTTAGGGACCAGCCTGGCCAACATGGTGAAACACCATCTCTACTAAAAATACAAAAATTAGCCAGGTGTGGTGGCAGGTGCAGGTAGTCCCAGCTACTCGGGAGGCCGAGACAAGAGAATCACTTGAACCTGGGAGACAGGTTGCAGTGAGCCAAGGTTGTGTCACTCTACGGCAGCCTGGGTGACAGAGTGAGACTCCGTCTCAAAAGACTGCTGAAGATCCCAAAGATCTTTTGTTTATTGGATTATATCAATTGATAATTACCGTATTAGATATTAAAACTGATAAATTTGAAATGTATGTTTATTTATTGGTACCTTTAAATATAATAACCCATTACATCTTAACATATTTTATCTCCCCAAAATTAGTGACAAGAATGGGATTTTTGTACATTTTTGCAAATACGCTGAAGGTCTCCTTTAATGACTAGAGTCTCATCTGCTTTTGTATTCATTGTGTTGCCATGTATTATTTTGGTTGAAGTGCATGAAGAAAATCCAGCGTCATTCAGCTGAGTAGTTAGAAAAGAGATGAATATTTTAATAATCTTTTCAGATGATTATGTTCTTTTTTGATACTCATCAAAACCTAACAGTTTTGTGTTTTTGTTTCTGTTTTGTTTTTTAGGACAGTGTCTTGCTCTGTCGCCCAGGCTAGAGTGCAGTGATGTGATCATAGCTCACTACAGCCTCCAACTCCTGGGTTCAAACAATCCTGCCTCAGCCTCCTGAGTAACTAGGGCTACAGGCACACACCACCAGGCCCAGCTAATTTTTAATTTTTTTTTTTTTTTTTTTTTTTTTGTAGAGACAGTATTGCTATGTTGCCCAAGCTAGTCTCGAACTGCTGGCCTCTAGCAGTCCCCCTGCCTCGCCTCTCAAAGCACTGGGACTATAACATCCAGCCCCTAACAATTTGTTAAACGTTAGCTGCAGTGTAGAATTGCAAATCATATGAATGAACTTCTCATGCTCTGACATTAACATTGGCCTACCATGCACTTTCAAGGGCTCTTTTACCTACACATGTGTCATTTGGAAAACATTGGTTCACTGAATTGTGCAGCTCTTTCACATGACACATTTCATTATATAATTTCAGAAAATTGGTTGGGTGCGTGGGCTCATGCGTGTGATGCTAGCACTTTGGGAAGTTGAGCTGGGAGGATTGCTTCAGCCAGGTTTGAGACCAGCCTGGGCAACATAGTGAGACCCCATCTTTACAAAAAAAAAAAAATTAGTGGAGCGTGGTAGCACACACCTGTGTTCCCAGCTACTTGGGAGGCTGAGGTGGGAGGATTGCTTGAGCCCAGAAGGTTGATATTGCAGTGAGCCATCATCATGCCACTGCACACCTTCCTGGGTGACAGAGCAAGACCCTGTCTCCTTTAAAAAGTACAGTTTTTGGAATGGCTTTTATTGAAGATCTATTGATGATGAACACTCAGTTTTTGTTCACCTGAAAATGTCTTTATTTTGCAGCCATTCTTGAATGATGTTTTTGCTGAATACAAAAGTTGGCAATTGTTTTCTTTTAACATGCTGAAGCTCTTATTCCTCTGTCTTTTGGCTTTCATTATTGCTATTGAAAAGTCACCTATCAGTCTATCAATTCATTTTGTTCTGACTGTTTTTTGTGGGTTCTTTTGTTGTTTGTTTTGATCTTTAGCTTTTTGCTGCTTTGCTGTTAACTTGTATGTATTGGCCGGGTGCGGTGGCTCACGCCTGTAATCCCAGCACTTTGGGTGGCCGAGGTGGGCGGATCAAGAGGTCAGGAGTTCAAGACCAGCCTGACCAATATGGTGAAACTCTGTCTCTACTAAAAATACAAAAATTATCCCGGCATGGGGGTGCGCGCCTGTAGTCCCAGCTACTCGGGAGGCTGAGGCAGAAGAATTGCTTGAACTCGGGAGGCAGAGGTTGCAGTGAGCAGAGATCACGCCACTGCACTCCAGCCTGGGCGACAGAGCAAGACTCCATCTCAAAAAAACAAAAAAACAAGCATGTATGTATCTTGCTTGGGATTGTCTTCTTAAATCTGTAAATTGGAGATGTTTTTAAATGTGTTTATTCATAATTTATTAAATGTGATTTCCATTCGTGTTATTTATCTTAATGTATAAATAATTTTTTAAATTATCTACATAGTAAATATTCTCTTCTGGTCTTTTACTCTTCTTTCACTTTGTTTCCCACAGCTTCCCCAACAGACATACATTGCCAAACTTGTGGATTTTTGATAATTTTTGATAAGTTAAAAGTAAAACAGGAAATCTCTGGAACTAGTCTTTTGGAAGAGGGGGTAGAGTTTTTGACTACTCTTTTCATTTTCTTCATCATTATTGGTTTATTTAAATGTTTCTTCCATTTAGACCAATGTTGGTAAATTATATTTTTATAGTTTTCAGATTTATTGATATAAATTATACATGGTGATTTATAATTTTAGAAATATCTTCCTTGTATTTGTGGTTGTATCGTCTTTGCTTTCAATATTTAATTTTTTCCTTTTTACTTATTTATATTTGCTAAAAGATTACCTACTTTATTATTACTCTACAAATAACCAGCTTTTGCTTTTATTGCTTGGCTTAGTTGGCTTTTTTAATTTGCTTTTTAAAATTACTGTTTTTATCATAAGAAATGTATCTGGAGTGTACTTTGTTTTCTCTTAGTAAGATTTTAATTACATTTAATCGGAGAACTAAATCCCTTGCTAATATTTTGTATAAAGATTCACTACCCTCCTTGGCATGGTGAAATAGACCCTGTTTAGAACCTTTCATGTACACCTGCTCCCTCATTAGGAGAAGGAATATTCAAGATCCCAATGCCTGAGGTTTGTCCAGTTGGGGCACCTACTTTACCCTTGTGCATATCCCCTATTTATCTGTGCCCAGGACATTTTGCGTGGGCTACGTGTAGAGGTGGTGGCCATACATAGTTATCTTTATTCTGGCATAAATCAGATGTCACGTTCTCTTTTGCCATATGTAATAATCAAGAGTACCCAAAAGTGGGTCTTGAAATATAATTGTTTCTGAGAGGAACTTATTCTCAGGATATTTTTGTAAGAGGGACAAAACTACTTAACAGTGTGTATCCTTGCAATAAGTATATTAATGAATACGATACAACCATTTTATACAGGCAAAAGATGGTTTAATGCCAAAGCACAAACTCATAAACCCAGTTGATGAGGAGCCAGAACAATGGTCATTACTGTATAGAGATGTTTTAAAAAGTCACCATATAAGCTTTGAAATAATTCTAATGAAAATTATATGACCTTGAGGCTGGGCGCGGTGGCTCATGCCTGTAATCCCAGCACTTTGGGAGGCCGAGGTGGGTGGATCACAAGGTCAGGAGATCGAGACCATCCTGGCCAACATGGTGAAACCCTGTCACTACTAAAATACAAAAAATTAGCCGGGCATGATGGTGCATGCCTGTAGTCCCAGCTTCTTGGGAGGCTGAGGTGGGGGAATCGCTTGAACCTGGGAGGCAGAGATTGCAGCGAGCCGAGATCACGCCACTGCACTCCAGCCTGACGACAGAGTGAGACTCCGTCTCAAAAAAAAAAAAAAAGAAAGTTATATGATCTTGAATATAAAAAGTATGGTCTCTAAAGAATTTGTTGTTGTTTTTACATAATGTAGGAGGAAAAAAATTGTGGTGTTTATAAGCATCAGCCTGATTACCAAAAATACTTTTTGTGGTAGACTGGATTTTGAGAATGTTAAAACAATCTTCAAAAATTGAATATTAAATCCAAAAATAAGCAAGCCACAGCTAAATGAAAAAGTCATAGTACATAGGTGTAATACACTTTACTCAAGGGGTGTAATTCCAAAAAAAAAGTTTTTAAAAAAGGTAATTTGTCTCCTACTGGATATACTAAATACCTTAGTGAATTTTTTATTTTGAATAGCTCTTTGTTAATCTACATAATTGTTTATGAATTTAACTTGCTTTATAAGTTCAAATTATCCTATATGCTATACAACACACTAATGGTAATGATGAATAAGATCTACTAATTAGGCTTTCTTCTGGGCAATGCATGTGGGTATCTTAGATTGCTTAGTTAAAACATAATGAGTAAAGATGTCCTTAGATCAGGCCAAACACTTCATCTTCCCCCTGCACCTCCGTTTGATTAAATTTTTCGTAAATTTTGTTAGGGCTGCATGGCTTATTGGGAAGGGACCTCATCCCTACCCCAGGCATTGGTATCAATTTTCCTGAAGCTATGTGAAGTATTAAAAAACCATATTCAGGCCTGGCATGTTGGCTCACGCCTGTAATCTGAGCATTTAGAGAGACAGAGGCGGGCTGATCAGTTGAGGTCAGGAGTTTGAGACCAGCCAGGTTAACACGGTGAAACGCCTTTACTAAAAATACAAAAATTAGCTAGGCGTGGCGGCCCATACCTGTAATTCCAGCTACTCAGAAGGCTGAGGCAGGGGAATCGCTTGAAACCAGGAGGCAGAGGTTGCAGTGAGCCCAGATTGTGCCACTGCACTCTGTCTCAAAAAAAAAAAAAAAGCCATATTCATTATGACTTTTTAATTTTGTGACATGTATAAATACATTTTTTATTATCTACATAGTAAATTTAAAAAGCTGCATCAAACTGTAGCCGGTGAGGCTGCATAAATGATGTGGGACGAAGAGTTATAATAACTTGAGATCACTGTAGTGAAAAGAACGTGTATTTTAGATTAGACCTGAGATTGATAGATATCCTTACTAGGGGCTTGCGGGTAGGACACTTAAGGAAATTGGAGCTTGGAGTGAGCTTTGTAAAATAATACTAAAACCATCCTCCTAGTGGGGTTACTGTGTGACGTCCAAGAACTCGGGGGCAGTTGGCTTGCTGTCCTGTGCTCCGTTCTGACGACTGAGCCCGCCCAGGTCTGCAGGGTCCTGGGGTCCTGCGGGTTCTGTAGGGTTCCCTGGTGTGTGGAGTCCCTACCCGCTACAAGCTCCGTTGGGTCTACGGAGTGTGCGGGGATCTCCCAGCCCTGTTGGCTGTACGGGCTCAGTGGGGTTTGCAGGGATCCCCTCGTTCTGTGGGGTCCGTGGGCGCCGAGTCAGGGCCATGCCCCTGGGCTCCGCTCGCGGAGCCGGCGTCGCCCTTGTTGACTTTCAAAAGGCGCCGCCGGCCCCGCGCCCTACACGCTCAGCACGCCCTGCGCGGAGTTCCCCGCTCTGGCGCACTGGCCTTGGCTGGCGGGAGGGGGCCGGAGGGGCTGCCGGCGGAGCAGAGACACAGCCACCCTCCCCAACACACCATGAGGTGAGTCGGGGAGGGGCCTAGGTCTCCCACATGCTGTTGTGGGAAGCTCTGACCCCCGCTGTGCCTGGGGCGGGCTCACCCACGGAGGTGACTGTTAATACAGCGCTGAGTGCGAAGGAGACCCGAGAAAATGGGCCTATTCTGTCTAGTAACGTTTTACCTTCTGGTGAGGGTGTGGGGAGAGAAGCTTTGGCAGGGTCAGTGAGGCCCCGCAGCAGAGCCCTGGTGATGAAAGACACTTTTGTATGGTACCCGAAGGCTTAACTTCACTCCTGATTGTGAGTGGATTGTGTGTGGTAGTGGTGGAGCCCTTGCAGAACCGCCAGAGAGACGGTGCTAGTTGTGTGTGTGCCTATGTAAACCTACAATAGCTAAGGTCATCTTTTGAAATGTAGAACAGGGATTGCACATTGACTTTGCGCTTCAAGTATTTGCAGGTTATTACCTTAGTTTTTACTCCCTTTGTGCGTGCCGTGATTATCTTGGTTTAAACTCGTATGTGGCAAGAAATTTTTTAATGAATGTTTAAGTTTCTGTGAAAATTGTGTATTTCTCAAATTGTATTTTTTGGCTTTTAATAGGGTCACTTTGTTTTCTGGGTCTCTGTTTTGACTTACGGGAAATGCTATTTGTTTTCTCTACATTTTCTTCATTTAAAAAAAACCTGTAACTTCAGGAGTTCAAGACCAACCTGGGCAACCTCATCCCTGGAGGAGGGGGGAACCCCCACAAAACCACAACTATAACTGGCTGCTACTTAGGACTACAGGAGATCTTTTTTCCAAAGTGGAAATAGCTTTATTTCACCCAGATTATGTTTATTTAAAATTTCAGATAATATATAAAGCTGTAAAAAGTAAAGCAAAAACTACCTGTACTTGTCCCATCCAAAGATAACTTCATAGAATATTTGATTATCTACTGTGGTGCTAGGAGCTCTGTTGGACCCTGGGGACTTTGGTGAACAGACAATGCCTGCCTCTATAAACCTTACATTCTGCTGGGGAAAATAGACCTCTCCCAACCCACCAAAAAGTAAATTTATAATAATTCCATGTTCTAATGCTTTAAAGAAAACACTTGCAGCAGGGTAATCCGAGGTTTATCTGAGTGGATGACTTAAATAGATGTCACTAAAGGAACAGAAAGAGCTCAACCATGGGAGGAATGGGGAGAAAAAAAAAAGAATTCTGGTCAGAAATAACAGCATGCACAAAGGCCTTAAAAGAGGAAAAAGCTATAAAAAGAAAAATCCATGTAGCTGCCACTCAGTAGTAAGTCAGGGAAAAGTAGAGCAAGATGAGGTATAGGAAATTGGCAGGGACCAAATTTTACTTGTCCATGGCCAGGAGGGTGTGTTTTGTGTTCTGAGGGCAGTGAGAGGGTACTGAGGGGCTTTAATTAGAAATAAAGTGATCTGGAAAACTAATTGATTAATTTGTTAAGTAAATATTTATTGAAACCCTACTGTATAACAGGCACTGTTCTGAGCACTGGCATACAACAATGAAAAGGACAAAGCCCTGTATTCATGAAACTAATCTAGTGGTTGGAGGACAATCAGATAAACAAGAAAAAATACCAGATATTGATAAGTGTGCAGAAGATGACCATTGTTTAAATTGTGGTTTATATTCTTTAAGATATGGTATATTACACATATACTTCTTTTGGAACTTTCTCCTGAATAATTTATGGTAGGACATTTTTCACTGTTACTAAATAGTTTTCTTTGGGGGCATCTTAATTTGTTTTTGGATTAAGTATGGTAAAAAATAGCATGCATAAATGAAGAAATACTGTGCAGCAACAAAAATTTGCATGTTACAAAGCATCTGGTGAACGTTATATAGTAACTTCCTTTTGACAGTCTGACATGTGGCTCTCCTACCCCCATCCCAGACCCCAGCTGCCCCTTTGTGGTTTTTTATTTTGACCTATTAGTATGGTTAAATTTATGGATTTACTATTTATTGAACCATTTTTGCATCTTGGAATGAGCCCTAATTGATCTGTTATTATTTTAATGTCCTGATGGATTTACTTTGCCAATGCATATATTTAGGATTTTTATATCAATATTCATAAGAGATCAGTCTATAGTTGTTGTTTTTTAATGTGTTTTGTCTAGTTTTGGTATTCGCATCTGATTGCTTTGTAAAAACAATTGAGAAGTTTCATTTCTTTTTCTGAGTTTCGGAACAGATTAAATAGCCAAGTATTATTTATTCTTCAGTTACCAAATTCATATTTACTAAACACTATGTGCTAGGAATTGGACTGGATGCTGAGTAATCAGTAGTAAACAAAACAGATATGGTTCCTGCCGTGATATTGCTTGGCTCATTAAGGAAAATGACATTAATGAAGAAACTACACATATGTAATTATAAATCATGCAAGAAAAGGACAGGATGCTTTGAGATAATATCATTGAAGATCTTTAGATTGTGCTTTTTATGCATTTGAGTAAATGACTATTGAGTACATACATATACACTAACAGCTAATTATTTAAATTAGTATGTATTGATTTGGTGTGTAATTAGGGCTGTGGTGGGTGCATTAGTAAAATGAGGTCTTCATAATTACACAAAATATAAAATAATGGCAATAGTAGCTACCATTGTAGGAGGTAGCTGCATCATTTTTTAATGGTAGAAATTAAGACAGGTTAAGTAGACACTTTTAGTCTAACATGTTCAATTGTATACACTCTTTGGAAGTCTCTCTTAAGATTATAGTAAAAGAATAAGGATATAAATCCACAAAGATCAAGAGGAGGTGAGAGGAAGATATAGCTGAAATCAGTATTTGGGAAACTAGAAAGGAGATGGGCAAGTAATAAATGATTTCATGAATTAGAGAATGCTGAAAGCTGAAGAGAGGTAACCCAGCAAGGAGCAAGCAGATTCTTTCCACAGAATCTGGAAAAGTTTTAGGAATTGGGGGTATCAAGTACAGGACTTCTGAAGTCAAGAATTACAGGATGGGGTGGGAATAGAAGGGTTGGTTGATGGTCTTTATCATTTTGATACCCTGGAACCCCTTCTCCACTCCCACACACCCAGACAACTACTCTCTCCTCTACCTTGACGGAAGACTGAAGGTTTATACCCAGGAGACTAGGAGGCTCCAGATGGTTAAGGTGGGGGTGAAGCACCTAAATGAAAATGAGGATTGAGTGAAAGTCAGGTCAACATGCTGAACCTAGAGCGGTTGTCTTTTTTTGATTGGCTTCCAAACTATCAGGCTTACGTGCCCCTCAACAAAACATTAACGGATTCTTAGCTGGGGAAACTTACCAGCCCATGGCACAGTATTTAACAGATATGAACTATGGAAATTCACCCGATTGAACAGTTGGATCCATCAGATCACCTGGAGAGTACAGCCGCTGGTCAGGAAGCATTGTTCACGTACCACAGCTTCTAGTCAACTTTTATTTCATTTTTTGAGACAGGGCCTCACTCTGTCACCCAGATTGAAGTGCAGTAGCGCCATCATAACTCACTATAGCGTTGAACTCCTGGGCTCAAGCCATCCTCCCACCTCAGCCTCCTGGGTAGCCGGGAATACAGGCGTATGCCCCCACGTCCAGCTGATATTTTTATTTTTTGTAGAGATGGGGTCTCACTATGTTGCCAGGCTGGTCTTCAACTCCTGGGCTTGTGATCTTCCTGCCTTGGCTTCCCAAAGTACTGGGATTACAGGTGTGAGCCACTGGTGCCTGGCCCTAGTCAGCTTTTAAATGCCTCACATTTGAGTATAAATGTACAGCCAAGGGTCGCCTGCCATAGAATGAAAGTCTCTAATGAAAAAGAGACCAAGTAGGAAATAAAAGGAGCTGAGTATAAATAGATTTACTTCAGGGAACAGAAGAAACTTCAACAAATAAAACTAGTATCTTTAAAGAGAAGATATTACATCTGTGAAAGATGAAAAAGTTTATATAAAAAAAACTGCTGCGACAGAAGAAATTTCTTAAAAATTTAATACAAGGTTTAGATAATAAAGCTGAAGAATTCTCCCCAAAAAACCAGAAGAGCACAAGAATTAGAAAATAAGAGTGAAATGATGAGAAAATTAGAGGGCCAACCAAGGAGGTTCTTCATCTAATACAGTGGAAGGAAACTATCTGTGTCCCAGAACTGAAGAAGGTGACTTTCTAGGTTGAAAGGGCCTATTAAGCGCCCTGATCAATAAAACAGAAACAAACAAAAAATAAACAAAACTTCATTGTACCGAATGTATAGTTCCAAAAGGAACAAGACCAGATTGATTTTCTTCCTACTTCTGAAAAGAAGAATGGGGGCAGAGAACGAGGTGCTAGCTCTTAAACTGCATTTTAACAAATTCAGGGAAAAAGGAAACCTTAACTTTAAATTGTATGCAAGTGCTGTTAGGTATCCCCAGTGGGAAGTTCCAACAGTTCTGTGACAAAGATAAAGTTGCGCAGAAGAAGCATATTTCAGGTATCTCCAGCAACTTATTCATATCCAGAATCAGCCCTATCCAAAGAGAGAAGTCTCGTATACCTGGCTAAGACTGAGGAGCCATATGGTATCAAGGAAGGAGAAAGCAGAATGAGAAAGTGCCTGGGTGGGGCATGGGGGAGGCAGAGATCTTAGTGCTAATAAAGTACTCCTAGAAATGAGTGCATAACCTTGGAAAGCAAGGGTTGTGTCTCTAAGAGGCAAGCAGAGCTGGCAATAAAGGCCCTCCTGAACCAGATTACATTTGGAGATTAGATAAGGAACAAGGCACCATATTATAAAACAGCAGTCCTCTGATTTAGGAACAGAGGGAACCCTAAAGAAACATGACAAGTGCCCTACCCCTCCCTACACCCTGAATCTTCTGATAACAGTCCAGGATAATTCATCTCATTCAGACATGTATAACAAAAATAGTATGTACAGCATCCATACAGTGACTGTCTGGTAGATGGTATTTTTTATGTTTTATGTTGGTTTTTTGTTCTTTTATATTATTTTTATTATTGAAGATATAATTCACATGCCATAAAATTCACCATTTTAAAGTGTACAGTTGACTGGCTTTTAATTTATTCCCAAGGTTGTGCAATGATCACCACTACCAATTGCATTATTGACCCTAGTGCTTTACTTTTCCTTATGTTCACTCCATGACCCTATGCAGTTCCTTTCATTAAAGTGACAGAGATATTTCCCTACTCCTTGACTTTGTGTTTGGCTATGTGACTTGCTAAGGTAAAAGTGATAACATATCAGTTTCAAGCCTAAGCCTTAAGAGGCCTTGGGTATTTTTATTTGTTCTCTTTCTATCTGTGCCATTTCCATGAGAAAAACATGTCTCTGCTAGCTCATTGGTTGAGGGAAGATGAGAGATAGGAGAGTGAGGGCCACCCCAGCTGAGTTAAGCTGAATTCAATGAACACTGTAGAGATGTGAGTGATAAAAAAATGATTGTGGTTGTAAGCCAGTGAACTTCAGGATGGTCTGTTAATAAACATTAGTTAACCGAACAGTTATATGATTAAAAATAAAAAAAGAGAGAGAAAAACCACAATTTTCTACAGACGATATTTTTCAAAACAATATTAGCAGAAAATAAATCACAAGTGGTCAAGCTACTGCCTGTGGTCTTGCCTATTTTTGTAAATAAAGTTATATGGGGACATGGTCATTCCTATTTATGCATTTTCTATGGCTGTTTTTATGCTCTACCGGTAGAGATGAGTAGTTGTGACAGAGACCGTGTGGTTCATAATCCTAAAGTATTTATTTTCTGACCCTTTATGAAAAAGTTTGCTGACCTTTTGAAGTAGATGGAAAATGTGACCTAAGGTTTTAATACAAATTTTAAAATAAATTTATATACCACATCATACCCATTAAGATAGCTGTAATCAAAAAGACAGATAATAACAAGTGTTGGTAATGCTGTGAAAAAATTGGAACCTTCTGTATACTGCTGGTGGGAATATAAAATGGTGCAGCCACTTTGAAATCAGCCTGGCAGTTTCTCAGATGAGCAGACACAGATTTACTGGAAGAGCAAGCCATTCTACTCTAAGGTATATACGTAAGAGAAATGAAAACATGTTCACATAAAAACTTATACATGAATGCTCATAGCATAATTATTCATAATAGCCAAAATGTAGAAACAACCCAAATGTGCATCAGTTGATGGATAAACAAAATGTAGTATATCCACAAAGTGGAATATTATTTGGCATAAAAAGGTATGAAATATTGATATATGCTTTAACATGGATGAACTTCAAAAACAGGCTAAGTGAAAGAAGCCAATCATGAAGGACCGCGTGCTGTATGACTCTGTTTATAGGAAATGGTCTGGAATAGGCAAATCTGTAGAGACCGAAAGTAAATTATGGTTTCCTAGGCCTAGGAACCAGTGAGGGGTGAGGAGGATAGCTAAGGGGTAGAAGGTTTCTTTGGGGATAATGAAAATACTCTAAAATTGATTGTGGTGAAGGTTGCACAATTCTGTGGATATACTAAGCACAATTCTGTGGATATACTAAAAGCAATTGAATTGTACACTTTATGTGGGTGAATTGTATGCCGTATGAATTATATCTCAACATTGTATTAGAAAATAAAATTAATGAAGCATAGAAGTTACGGAGAACTACTGGAAAGAAGAAATACAAGAACTCAAGGAAGAGACAGCCAGACAACAGTAGAGTGTGAAATGGGAACCAGCAGAAAAAAAGAAATAGAGAAAAATGATCAAGCCATTTCAGAAGTACACAAGGGAGACTAGACACCATGGCAAAGATCATAAAAGTAGAAATGAAATTTTATGGTAAGTATATTTTACCACAATTTTGATAATGCAAAGAAAGAAAACAAAAGATAGACAGGAGAAAAATGAGTAAAACAGGTACACATTTATTTTTATTGATGCGTAATAGATGTACACAGTTTTAGGATACATGTGATAATACAGTCATATAATTTGTAGAGATCAAGTCAGTGTAGTTGGGTCATCTGTTACCTTAAATATTTCTCTTTTCTTTGTGCTAGAACCACTCAAATTCTATTCATTTTGAAATATATAATAGATTGTAAACTACAGTCAACCTACTGATCTAACACTAGGTCTTCTATCAAACCATATATTTATACCCATTAATCAACTTCTCTTTATTCCTTCCTTCCTCCTACCCTTTCCAGCCTCTCATAACCACCAAATCTACTCTCTATTTTCATGAAATCCACTTTTGTAGCTTCCACATATGAGTGAGAGTATGTGATATTTGTCTCTGTGTGCTTGGCTTATTTCACTTAACATAAAGACCTACAGTTGCATCAGTGTTGCTGAAAATAGCAGGATTTTATTTTTTTTTTATGGCTGAATAATATTGCATTGTGTATACTACATTTTCTTTATTCATCTGTTGATGGACACTGAGGTTGATTTTATATTTTGGCTGTTGTGAATAGTGTTGCAGTAAATACGGGAGTGCAGATGTCTTTTTGATATGTTGATTTTCTTTCTTTTGGATATATACCCAGTAGTGGAATTGCTGGATCATATGGTAGTTCTGTTTTTATTTTTTTGAGAAAGCTCTGTACTCTTTTCCATAGTGGCTGTACTAACTTAAATTTCTACCAGCAGTGTATAAGGGTTCCCCCTTCTCCATATCTTCGCCGGCATTCATTATTGCTTGTCCTTTTAGTAAAAGCCATTTTAACTGGGGCGAGATGATGTCTCGTAGTTTTGATTTGCTTTTCTCTGATCATTCATGATGTTGAGGATTTTTTCATACACCTCTTGGCCATTTTTATGTCTTCTTTTGAAAAATGTTTATTCAGATCTTTTGCCTGTTTTTTAATTGGATTATTTGTGGGGGTGTGTCTGTGTGTGTGTGTGTGTGTGTTTGCTTGCTTGCTTGCTTGCTTCCTTGCTGTTGAGTTGTTTGAGCTCCTTATATATTCTGGTTGTTAATCTTTTGGCGGGTGAGTAGTTTGCAAATATTTTCTCCCATTCTGTGGGTTGTCTCTTTACTTCATTGTTTCCTTTGCTGTGCAGAAGCTTTTTTTTTAGCTTGATGTAATCCCATTTGTCTATTTTTGCTTTGGTTGCCTGTGCCTTTGAGGCCTTAAACAAAAAAAGTTTGGCCAGACTAGTATCCTGGAGTGTTTTCCCAGTGTTTTCTTCTGGTAGTTTCATAGTTTTGGGTCTTAGATGCTTAGATGTAAGTCTTAAATCCATTTTGATTTGAATTTTGTATATGGTCAGATTGTTTTGTTCTTCTGCATGTAGTTATCCAGTTTTCCCACCACCGTTTATCAAAGAGACTGTCCTTTTCCCATTGTATGTTTTAGCTCCTTTGTCGATGATGAGTTGGCTCTATATGGATTTACACCTGGGTTCCCTGTTCTGTTCCTTTGGTCTGTGTTTTGTTTTTATGCCAGTGCTGTAGCTTTGTAGTAAATTTTGAAGTCAGGTAGTGTGATGCCTCCAGCTTTGTTGTTTTTGCTTAGTATTGGTTTGGCTATTCAGGATCTTTTGTGGTTCCATATACATTTTAGGATTTGTTTTCTATTTCTGTGAAGAAGAATGTCATTGGAATTTTGATAGGGATTGATTGCATTGAATCTGTAAATTGGCTTTGGGTAGTATTCAACAATATGAATTCTTCCAGTCCCTGAGCATAGAGTATCTTTCTATTTTTTAATGTCCACTTCAATTTCTTTCATCATTGTTTTATAGTTTTTCTTGTATAGATCTTTCACTTCTTTGGCTAAATTGATTCCTAGGTATGTTATATTCTTTGTAGCTATTGTAAATGGGATTGCTTTCTTGATTTCTTTTTCAGATTGCTTGCAGTTGGTGTATACCAACGCTACCGATTTTTGTATGTTGATTTTGTATCCTGCAACTTTACTGAATTTGTTTATCAGTTCTAACAATTTTTTTGGTGGAGTCCAGGTTTTTCTAAGTATAAGATCACGTTATCTGTGAACAGGCTTATTTGACTTCTTCTTTTCTGATTTGGATGCCCTCTATTTCTTTCTCTTGCCTAATTGCTCTGCCCAGTACTTCCAGTACTATATTGAATAAAAGTGGTGAAAGTAGGCATCCTTGTCTTGTTCCATATCTTAGAGGAAGGGCTTTCAATTGTTCCTTGTTCAGGATGATGTTTGCTATTGGTTTGTCATATATGGCCTTTATTACTTGAGATACGTTCCTTCCATACCCAGTTTGATGAGGGTTTTTTAAAATCATAAACAGATGTTAAATCTTATTAAATGCGTTTTCAGCATCTGTTGAAGTAATCATGGTTTTTGTTCTTAGTTCTGTTAATATATCACATTTATTGATTTGCACATGTTGGACCATCCTTGCATCCCTGGGATGAATCCCACTTGATCATGGCAAATATCTTTTTACTGTGTTTTTAAATTTGATTTACTAGTATATTGAGAATTTTTGCATCTATGTTTATCTGTGATATTGGCCTGTAGTTTTCTCTTCATTGTCTCCTCTGGTGTTAGTATCAGAGTAATGTTGACCTTGTAGAATGAGTTTGGAAATATTTCCTCCTCTTCAATTTTTTGAAGAGTTCAAATAGAAATTTATATTAGTTCCTCTTTAAATGTTTGGTAGAATCCAGCAGTGAAGCTATAAGGTCTTGGGCTTTTCTTTAATGGAAGAGTTTTTATTATAGCTTTGATCTCATTACTAAAATGGTCATTTTTTTTTTTTTTTTTTTTTTTTTTGGTAAGTAAGGATAGATACGACAGCCAAAAGAGATCCAAAACGGGCAAAACTGGAGCCCCAAAAAAGAAAACCGATTCCGTAGAATACATAATTTAAAGTATAATTTAAGATGTTTCTTTTCCTTAAAGAAAGGACTTAAATCTATTGAAAAGACACAACATGCTCCAGGGAAAACTGGCGCAACATTGAGACATATTCTGGTAAAAAATTTCAACTGGCAAAAGATCATATAAAGAAAATCAGGTTGGTGCAGAATAACAGAAACATTCAATACCAGAAAATAGTAGAGGAACTACATGTCAGCTACTCAAAGAACATGTGAGCCAAATATTTTTTTGTGCTGCCAAGGTGTCCTTTGGGTATAAAGACTATGTACTGGCTGGTAGTTTTAAACATTCAGGGTTTTACATCTTTTTATATGAGCCTTTCTTGAGGAAACATCTAGAAGACAGATACCAGCTAATCAGTAAATGAAAAAGGAAACTTCAGCAAAGGAATGAACTGCTAAATTCTCAATAATTAACTAGAAGATCATATTAGGGATCATAGTCTTCCTAATTTTAAAGGGAGTACTTTAATGTCTCACCATTATATATATAGGCTGCTTTCTAGATATCTGTTTATCAGGTAATCTATTTACTATGAATTCTCTTTTTAGTCACAAGTGGCTGTTGAATTTTATGTCTAATAAGGCATAGGTTTTTTTAAATCTCTCAGTATGATTAATTTTATGAATAAATTGTCTAATGTTACACCTTCCTTCCTTGAATTCCTGGCATAAGCTTTATCTCAATCATGTTGTTTTATATTTTATATATATTGCTAGTTTAGGTTTTTCTGATTTTTTTTTTTTTTTTTTTTGAGACAGTCTCACTCTGTCACCCAGGCTGGAGTGCAGTGGCACAATCTCGGCTCACTGCAAGCTCCGCCTCCCGGGTTCATGCCATTCTCCTGCCTCAGCCTCCCGAGTATCTGGGACTACAGGCGCCCGCCACCACGCCCGGCTAATTTTTTGTATTTTTAGTAGAGACGGGGTTTCACTGTGTTAGCCACGATGGTCTCGATCTCCTGACCTCGTGATCCGCCCGCCTCTGCCTCCCAAAGTGCGGGATTACAGGCGTGAGCCACCGCGCCCGGCCTCTGATGTTTTTATTTAAGATTTTTTTGCATGTGTTGTCATTGGTGATGTTACCTTAAAATGTTCTTTTATAGTTGTTCCTTTCTGGGTTTTCATTCAAGGTTGTGCTAGACTTATAATTTGAGAAAGTTTTCATTCTTGGCCAGGCGTGGTGGCTCACACCTGTAATCCCAGCACTTTGGGGGGCCCAGGTGGGTGGATCCACCTGAGGTCAGGAGTTTGAGACCAGCCTGGCCAAGATGGTGAAACCCCATCTCTACTAAAAATACAAAAATTAGCTGGGCCTGGTAGTGGGCGCCTGTCATCCCAGTTACTCGGGAGGCTGAGGCAGGAGAATCACTTGAACCTGGGAGGCGAAAGTTGCCGTGAGCCGAGATCACACCATTGCACTCCAGCCTGGGTGACAGAGTGAGACTCCATCTCAAAAAAAAAAAAAAAGAAAGTTTTTATTCTTGAGAATAATGTTTATGTGGGAAAACTTCTGGGCTTGAGACTTACATACCTATAACAACTAACTCTACCACTTATTTAATAGTTGTAGGTATATTCTGTTTTCTTAAGTAGGTTTTGATAAATTATTTCTGGAAAATTCCCCTGTTTTCTCTATGATTTCAATTTTTTCTATAAAAATTGTTTCTATTACCCTTATAATTTATAGTACATATAAATCACACTCCTTTTTATTTGTAATGTTGGTTTTCAGTGCCTTGTTTTGTCCTTGATTAATTTGACTAAAGATATATCAATATTTTTTGTCAAAAAGCTAATCTTTTTTCAGCTATTTTTTCTTCGGTTTAATTAATATCTGATCTTCTCTTTTTATTTCCTCCTCTTATTTGCTTTGGGTTTACTGTGTTGTTCCATTTTCTGAGTTCTTGAATTGACCGTAGCTTATTGATTCTTTAAATGTTTTTCTTTTGTAGTGTATACATTTGAAATGAACAGTTTCTTATAGCTATTTTAGATAATATCTTAAGCTTAGATCATGTTACTCTTTAACTTATGAACCATTTATATGTAGGATTTTTAAAATTTAAATTTCCAAACATGAGGCTTTTGAGATTAACTTTTTATGGTTACATTGTCATTTTACTTGATTTTGGTCAGAGATCAGTTGTTTTTTAGTACTCTTGGAATTTCCTTTGTGGCCAAATTCATAACCATTAGGTTTTGTTTTGGGGCTTTCAGCTCAACTTCATTGAGGTCTAATTTTCATACAATAAAATGAACATAATTTAAGTATATAGTTCAGTGAATTTTGGTAAATGTATATACCATGTGATGACTACACCAATAAAAATAGTGTGTGTCCATCACCCCAGAAAGTTCCCTTGTGCATACCCCACTTGTAGTCAATTTTCCTATTCCTGCCCCCTGCTGTAGGCAACTAATGAAATGCTTTTTATCACTATAGATTAATTTTGCTGCTTCTTGAACTGTATATGTATAGAATTTTACAGTATGTACTCTTGTGTCTGATGACTTTTGCCCAGTTTAATGTTTTGAGATGCATGCATATATCAGTTTTACTTTTTTTAATTGCTGATTATTATTATGTGTGAATATACAAGTTTATCCATTCACCTATTGATGAATATTGGAGTTGCTTCCAGTTTTAGGCTACTGTGAAAAAGCTGCTCTGAACATTCATGTGCAAGTGTTTTTGTGGATATGTTTTATTCTCTTGGGTAAATATCTAGGAATAGAATTTTGGGTCATATGGTAAGTATGTGTTTATAAGAAACTGATGTTATTTTTTAAATTGGCTATATAATTTTTCAGTTGGCTTTATATTTCTACTAGGAGTGTTCCAGAGGCTCCTCATCCTTGCCAACGCTTGGTATTTTCAGTCTTTTTAGCCATTCTACTGGAGCAGTAGTATTTTATTGTGGTTTTAATTAGCACTTCCCTGATAACTAATAATATTGACCCATTTCCCATGTTTCTTTTTATTATATGCTTTATTTTGTGAAATGTGTCTATGAGTTTTTTATATATTCTAGGTACAGGTACTTTACAAATATTTCCCATTTCTTAATAATGATACCTTGGAAGATCAGATGGTTTTAATTTTTAGGAAGTCTGATGTATACATTTTTCTAGGTCACTAATTTTGTGCCCTATGAAAACTTTATGTACCCCATAGTCAAGTACATTTTTTCCTATGATTTTTTAAATTTTATAATTTTAGCCAAATAGTTATAGTTTTTATGTTTAGGTCTGTGATTCATTTTGAGTTAAATTTTATGGTTTAAGGTAGAGGTTTGAGGTTCATGTTTTTTTCCTCCGTTTTAGTTGTTCTGTAGCAGCATTTATTGCAAAGATATTCTTTCTCAATGGAATTATACTGGCAATATTGAAAATCTGTTATCTGGACTCTATTCTGTTCCATTGATCTATATGCATTTTCTTTGTATCATTACCACCTTGTCTTGACTACTTTAGCTTTGTAGTAATTCTCAAAATCAGGTAGTGAGTCCTTCAGCTTTGTTCTTTTTCAAAATTGTTTTGGCTTATATCTTTCTTATATAAATTTTAGAATCAGATCATCAGTTTCTGCAAACTGAGATTGTGTTGAATCTGTAGATCAATTTTGTGTCTTAACATCCCCCAGCAAAGTTAGAAAGCCAGGCAGTAATATCAGAGGGCACAAGCCCAGATTGAAGCTGGAAGACATAGTGCTCCAGAAAGGTCCTTCCAAAAAAAAGAAAAGAAGCTGCTCAAAACAGACAAAATCTTTGATCTATCTTTATCCAGAGGATATTGTTAGTTCTCTAGAATTTCAAGCTGAAATAATGATTGGTAACTGAAAATTAAGCTATTTTAAATTCAGAAAAGCAAAACACGGTATAAGGAAAGAACTTGACTACACAGTATGGCTCAGCAATGATTAATACATACAGTTAAGTAGTGAAACCTAGGCCTAGCACGGTGGCTCATGCCTGTAATTCCAGCACTTTGGGAGGCCGAGGTATGCAGATCACTTGAGGCCAGGAGTTCGAGACCAACCTGGCTAACATGGTGAAATCCCATCTCTACTAAAAATACAAAAATTAGCCGGGCATGTTGCTGGGCACTTGTAATCCCAGCTACACGGGAGGCCGAGGCAAGAGAGTTGCTTGAACCCGGGAGGTGGAGGTTGCAGTGAACCAGAATCAAGCCACTTACGCTCCAGCCTGGGCCACGGAGCAAGACTCCGTCTCAAAAAAAAAAAAGTAAGCACCCAACAAATGTTAGCCATTGTTATCATTAATAACAATAGCTTCCTTGCTAACAAATACTAGGATAACGTCTCTATCCATGGCAGCAAAGAAAAAAGGAATTTGCTAAGTTATCTGATGCCAGTGCACCATGCCTCATGCACAGCAAGCCTTCAGTAAAGTTCCTTGTAGAGTCACAACTGAAAGGAGCTTTAGAAAGGCAATTATAACTAAAGGAGGCCTTAGAGAGTATAAATTTAACAAAATCCATCAGTTAGTATGTCTTCAGCTTCCAATAAAAGTTTAAACAATAAGGAACATTTATTATTTCATGTATAAAGCCCAAAGATGAGGCAGCCCCCAGGTTAGTTTATTTCATCAGTTCAGGGATCTAGTTTCTTTCTGTTCTGTTCCGTTCTATGTTGGCTGCCATCTTGGTTGCAAGGAGATCCAGGCAACACATCTTCAGACAAGATCCTAGGCTAGAAGATGGAGTCCTTTTCTAAGAAAGGTTTCCCAGAACTCTCTCTGTAGACTTCCATTTATATCTCACTGGCCAGAACTGAGTCACATGTTTATTCCTAAAACAAACACTATTCAAAGGGAGTGGAATTACCATAATGATCTTAGAGTAATTAAGATTCTCATTCTCTTTCTCTCTCTCTCTCTCTCTGTCTCCCCCCCCAACCCCACACACACACATACTCACTCTCCCTCACTCATTTTCACACACACACACACACACACACACACACACACACACACACACACACACTTCTTCTGAACCATGGGATAACCTGATACCTGAACAAAATTGTGGTTTTATGGAAGGGAAGTAAAAGGGACATGATTGTTGGGAAGTCAATCCAATGTGTCTTTAACCACTGTCTCAAAACACATTAGTGGTAGCACCTAGTGAGTTCAATAGGTAGACCAGAACCCTGGTCTCCCTATTCCTAATTTTCCCCTACATAAACAACCTCCTTCATGAATTATTATCAACATAGCTACTTTTCCTAAAAAATTTTGAATGTATCCACACAATTCTACCTCCAGTTCTTTTTGGGGGGAAAATGTGCTGTAAAACTATACATGCTGTTTTTGTGAAGCATATGAAAATCCTTATTCCACAGACTCATGATAAAAACTGAAAACTTGACCACCTTTGTAATCTTTTTCTTCGTTCTTATTCTTCTCTCCCTTCTTCCCTTAATCAGTCATATTAAACTATTTGCAGTTCCTTTAATGTATCATGTTTAAACCGCTGTTCATTTGCTCATACTATTTCTGCTATCTAGAAAATGTACACTAGTTTCCTTTTTTGGCTTCCTCATTGGAATATCTTCCAGATTTCAAGTATCTGTGCCTCCATGAAATCTTTCTTGACATAGCTCCATCTCCATAAAATTGGTTGTATCACTGTACATCCACTATATCATGTTTTAGATACTCCTACACATTTATAGTACTAATTTCTTTGCAGATTTTTCTTCCTTGTCTATTCTGAGCTAACTTGCTTGCTTTCTCTTTCTTTCCTTTCTTTCTCTTTCTTTCTTTCTTTTTCTTTCTTTCTCTCCTTTTCTCTCTCTTTCTCTATCTCTTCCTTCCTCCCTCCCTCCCTCCCTCCCTTCCTCCCTTCCTTCCTTCCTTCCTTCCTTTCCTTCCTTTCTTCCTTCCTTCCTTTCCTTCCTTTCTTTCCTTTCCTCTCTTTCTCTCTTTCTGACATGGTCTGGCTCTGTTACCCAGGCTGGAGTTCAGGGGTGCAATCTCAGCTCACTGCAACTTCTTCCCCCCAGACTCAAGCCATCGTCCCACCTCAGCCTCCAAAGTAGCTGGGACTACAGGTGCACTCCACCATGCCTGGCTAATTTTTGTATTTTTTATAGAGGTGGGGTCTCACTTTGTTGCCCTGGCTGGTCTCAAGCTCCTGAGTTCAAACAATCTGCCTGCCTTAGCTTCCCGGCGTGCTGGGATTACAGGCATGAGCCACCTCGCCCAGCCTAATCTGAACTTTTTTAATGTAGAGCCTGTTTCCCTGTAATAGAGACTGTTTGCCATTTGTCTTGATAAATCCAAGATTTAGCATGATATTGGATGCATAATAGTCACCACTAATAGTTTTGTTTAATGAATATATATACAACTAATTTGGGGGAGGAGAGAGATTTTTGTAAATTGTGTTCTGCTTGATTCCGTTATTTTCAACTAGTGGAATAAAGATGTGGTTCTGTGATCTCTTCATTTTGAAAGATTTTTTTTCAGTAAGGCAAAAGCGATTAAGCATAATATATTTCTGTGTACAAAATTTTCTTTAGAAGTTAAAGACTTTTGGAGGAAAAACATTTCAGATTATGTGTTATAGCTTATAGAACAAATTAAGTCCTTAGCTGAGAATACTTGTCAAAGGAGGTAAATAAATATTACATAATTATTCCTAATACAAATTACTCAGCGAACATTTGTTTCTATAGTAAATATGCTATAAATAGAATTGTTCACTTTATGATTTTTTTTCTTTCTTCATTTTAGCATTTATGACATTAACAGAGAACAGGACTATGTCAAGAATTCTGAGGGTATACTTGGTGAAAATGAATTAAGACCACCCTCCCAGCTACATTCTCTCTTAGAGAAGATCGAGACAGGGTCCCTATCAGAAAAGAGTGGGTATTAAACTAAGTGCTATAAGTCATAACTAATGAATCCAGAATAGAATGATTAAAATGTTTTTAGTTTTAATTTAGATCATGTAAAACAAAAAGACTTTAAAAAATTATGATTTCCAGTACCTATATTTTTTAAAATAATCATTAGTCCAAAAGTAATAGGTGATTAACTTTTCAAATTGCAACATAAAACACGTATGTTCCTCTGTTGTGATTGAATTTAACCTTTCTCACATGCTCTTTATTCATCACTTAAGCCCTAAGGGATATACTTAATGCTTTATAGGCAAGCACTTTTCAAGTTTTACCGTCTTAGATTTTTAGGTTTCTTTGTGGTATAGCCCCCTCTTCATTTTCATAGTCTGGTAATCTTGAATGTTTAAATAAAGCTTGAGCATTGCTCAGCAGTTATGAGACCATTCATTCATAAAGTGTTTGTATTGTTTGGTGCACTGATTGGACTCTCAAATGAAAGTGTATTTTGTAAAGAAGGGAGAGCGTCAAATTTCTAGATGAAATTTTCATCTGTCTCCTCATTTACTGAACAGGAAACTTGTGCTTTCTTGAGAGTGTAATTGATGTCATTATGAACCCATGAAAGATTTAAGATTAGCTATGATTTTCCAACAACTTTGTTTTTAACATACCTCTGCTAACCATAAAATCACTGCTTTTATGCATATACTGCTATATATTGAAGAATACTGGCCTAAAGTGGAAGCATTTTTAACCATAAATAAATAGTTCTGGAAATAAAAATATATATAAGCAAAAAATAATTTGGTACTTGTTCCTCCTCCTTCGTTTTAAATCATTGGCTTTATTTATAGCTATATAGGGAACAGTATTCCCCACACTGGTGTTAATGAAGTGTTCTCTGACCATGTATTTGGGAAACCCTGTATTAGTGTTTTTAATTGCACCATCTCTTCAGTTTTCAGTTCATTATTGTGCATTATGATGCTCAAAAATGAGGACGTATGTAACTTAAATCTGTGCCTACCTATTAATGACTTACAGAATTTAGAGAAGTTGATAATCACAGTCTTCATTTCCAGAGTTACTTTTTAAAATATTTCTTTCAGTGTAAACAATGTGTTTCTCAAATATTGGTCTATAGGTAATTCAATTTTGAAACTTTCTTGCTTTTTTATAAATATCAAATATAAAGTTCCCAAAATTATTGTTTCTAAAGAAATCTTGATTTGTGTTTAGGCTAGCAGTACAGATTATTTGTAAAATGAATTTGAAAATGCTCAGGTTTGCCAGTTTGTTTTGAGTAATGCAGCTAATAAAGCTTTAATTTTAACTCTTATAACTGGTGTTTTGCTATTTGCATCTATTCAGAATATCCCTATTTTTTAAAGCACTGGTATATTGAAGGAGAAAGTGAAACTGAGCAAAAGTAAAAGTAAAACTTAGAATGAATATATAAATCATGTATATCAACTTCAGAATATTCGTAAACATTTCATTCTTTTCTATTTACAGTCTTTCATTTTGATACTTGGAAGTTTATTAAAAGATTTTTTAAATGCCTTGATAATTAAAGTATTAGGACAATTTAGTCTAAATTTAGCTTACTAAAATGTTTGCTTTCATTTCTGAGATAGTCTAGTTTTTGTATATTGGTTACTTACAAGTTAGTTTTAATTGAGATTCTTTTTTCTCTTTAATTTTTGAACTTTAATACATTTGGCAGTTTTGGTAAAAGTAGGAAGCCATATTACTGTACTTCATAACATTTATACTATATGACCAGTACTTCCAGTGCTATATAAATCATTCTCTTCTCCTTATTGTTTATAAATACTAGGTTTGTAAAACCCCCCAACCTTAATAAAGAGAATAGAAAGAGTACAAATAGGAGAGTGAACAGTTAAAATGGTTAGATGCAAGAGTGTCCGTAGGTCATTAGGCTCAGTTCTTGCTAAAGTAGAGACTTGTAAAATCAAAAGGCACAAAGAGTCAGTCAACATAATTACTGGATCCAGTCGGTAATTCTCAATTAGGAAACGTGCCTCTCATGGGAAGGGTGTATCACAGTCCCTCAAAGCTATCTCACATGGGTATGGTTTGAAAAAAGCACCTTCAAAAAATTGTAAGTACAGCTCTGTTGTATAAAATGAAAGAAAGTGATTTTATAATACAACTCACAGGAAGTAAAACTCAATAGACTCTTCTTGACGGGTGAGGAAATCCCAGAGATACAATGATTTCTATTGTGTCTGGTGAGTGGGCAATAGTAGGTCCCTTAAAAGGGACCTAGCTGACTTAGGGATTTAATGAAAATATGTAAAGAGTAAGTTTATCAAGTGTGGCGTATATATTTAAAAAAAAAAGAATAGAAACAAAGGATGAAAAAAACTAAAGAATGAGAAATTGCTCTAAAAGTCTAAGCAGCTCCTGACCACCACCTTGACACTACAGTTGTATCCACTTTTGACCAACTACAGTTATAGTACACAGCTTTCAACCAAAAGACATACCAGGTCTGGCAGGACATATTTTAGCTCCTGTACTAAAAGTAATTCAGCTTCAGTTCTAATTTATTTAGGTTATTTTCTTTACATCAGAGGTCTTTTAAATTTTGTTAAGACAGTACAAATATTTCTTAGTTATATAGGAAAGGAATAGGTGATGTTTTGAGTGATATTCAGTGTGTCTCCCTTAACCCCATCCTTTGGAATCTTAAATAGCTGCGTTATTTTTGTTTGTGTTTTACAGTTTTTGAGACAGTGTCCTTGAGTTCAGACTCTCTCTTCCAGAGGGCAGTTTCACTCCTCCATACTTCTTACTTGGACTCTTCATCTGAGCATGGTTTTCAGTACAGTCAAGTGACTTTGGTGAAAAATGACATTTTCTTAAATGAGGTGAGGTGCTTGGTACACACTATGATGGTTTTGTTTTAGTTTTAAAAGAGGTAAACCCATCATTTTTGGTATATAAGCCTAGCACTTTTTAGCTATAATTTTTCAGACGCAGCAGATCCTTGGAAATAGTCACTTGGAAGGTAATTATTCTAGGGAATAGAAAAATAATGCATTTATGTTTAGTCTTAATGGCAGGAAGAATTCAAATGATGCATTTTTAAAAATTTGCAAGACAAAATAGTATGTTTATAGCGTTTGGTTATTCTGTTCTCTCTTTATACAGTACAAAACTTTTTACCAACAAAAAAAAGCAAGTAGTTATACTCAGGAAGAACTTCAAGACACTTACGGGTTTCTTCTGTTTGATACTGAAAAGCAGGTAAGGGAATTAGGTTGTAGAAAATTAATGGTATCATTAGTCTTAAGTATTGTGGTACTTCAGTTCTGTAAGAGTTGTAAGATTACCAATTCATCAGTGTTTTTTGTTGCTTAGTTTGGTGGCATGTAAATGACAGCAACAAAAAAGCCAGTCATGAAGGAGATTTGATTTGATTTCTACAACTTTTCACGGTTTCTCTTTAGTTTTATCTGAAATACATTTGTAAGCTTAGGGTGCAATTTGGATTAAAACAGTTTTCTTTAGTGTCAATAATGGCCTTTACTAGAGTGAATGGATATTTTTCCATTCTGGATTATCGTTTAATCGAAACTTTGTTTCCTGTGGAAATTTTTCTGGTTTAAGTTATTTGATTTGGGAGATAAATCATGTAACTTAATAAACTTTGGCATCCTGGTTAACTGAAATTGCTTCATTCAATATTTGAAGACTGAAATCTGTATTGTTGCCTGTACCTAAATTATGGGAGAAGGAAAGGACCGTGTACAGGGTAGGTCTCCAAAGATATGTATGGCTTCCGAGATACATTTTAAACAATACCAGAGATCTAAAATAATTCAAAGTTAGTGCTTCGATTAGGTTAATGGTTTATAAAGAAGGGGGGCAGATTTGTTTAGCGGATAATTAGCACTAACATATAATAAGGACTATATAGTAATACCAGAAGAGTTTATCCCTTTTGAAATTTAATCGTCTGAATTCAAATAACACGCTCTGGGTTCTTACTAAAAATGACATTTGGCAACAAGACATTTTGAAATTTCATGCTTCTAAAGCTGTAGTTGGAAAATAAATCTTCTAGTGGACTTACCTGTGACCCTGCTTAGTTTGGTTTTCCTGACATTTTTGTTGATTGAAATGGTAAAATTCTATGAAAAGTTTGGGCCATTAATCAAAATACAGATTGCTTTGCATAAGTTTTCTTTGTGCCCCGAATACCTACAGTGAGCAGACTATTTATTTTAAAGCTTATGGATTAGGCCAGATGCAGTTGTGCCTCATGCCTGTAATCTCAGCATTTTGGGAGGCTGAGGTGGGAGGATTGCTTGAGCCCAGGAATTTGAGATCAGCCTGGGCAATATAGTGAGACCTTGTCTCTATTGTATAATAAAAAATAAAATTAAAAAAAAAAACCTTACAGATTATAGCATTTTTTCATTGCTTCAAAGACTGAAGCAAAGTAATCTTTTGTTTAAAGGCAAAATTGGTATGTCAGTGTGGACTCCGTGTTGGCAGCAGTGCTGTTACCACTCTGGGTGATCCAGCCAAAGGTAAGTCCGTAAAGCAAAAAGAATCTTAAAAAAAAATCTTCTTTTACAAGATGAAGTGAGGTTTCATTAGTTTTATAAGATATGTATATTAAAAGCCAGTTTCATTAAATGTCAAACAGTTCATAATGTTTAGATTTCTAACTTTAAACATATGAATGAGATTTGAGTCTAAAACTTAACAGTATTTTTCAGTGTCAAGAGATTGGTATTGTCTTGAGAATCTCTTCTAAATTGTCACAATGGCAATAAGAATAGAAAATAGAGCTGACCGAACTTGGCAACTATGGAATGTGAGGGGTAAGAGAGGAAATAATCAAATATAAGCTTTTAAACTTACACTACAGTGATAATTATTAATAGAAAAGAGGTACATAAGAAGAGAAGCAGATTGGTAGAGAAGCTGATGAGTTAAAAATAAAAATATTATCTAATTGTCAAGAACAATGAATTAGCACTAACTTTTTTGAAGATTCAGTTTCTTCATGTGTAAAACAGATTAAACTACTTTATAGAGTTGTTGAGAGGATTCAGTGAGACTGGAAAGTGTTTAGCCCAGGAGTTTGCACCTAGTAAGTTCTCAGTAAATGGACAGTACTACTTTTATGAGTTGAATTTGAGAAAAAGTGAGATTTTCATAAGTGTTTCTGAAAGATAGCCTATAGGTCATAAATATAGTTGGGAAAGGGATCAGAACTAGATTTGGGGCTAGGGTTGTGGGAGTGGGGTGTGAATTGAAGCTAAGACATTGTTAGTGGGATGGCATGGAAAGAGAAGATGGCAAAAACAGAACTTTTGGGTCATTAATGGGACCAGGGTGTGGGGAGGTACAGCGAGGATAGAACGAGGAATTGTCAAGAGCAGTCTGTTACCTGGAGACTTAGGAAATAGAGTTTCACGGAAAGCAGAAAGATCTCACGAAGAGGGGTATTTTTTATTAGTGCCAGGTGCTATGTAGAATGTGGAGATCAGAACTGAGAAAGATTATCGGGCTTCATGGCTAGATTCCTGCTGACCTTTTTTTTTTTTAAAAAAAAACTGCTTTATTGAGATATAATTCACAATTATAGAATTCACCCATTGTTTAGTGTAGTCCCATAGTTGGGTAACCATCATAACAGTCAATTTTAGACCATTTTTTTCACCCAAAAAAGAAATCCCATGGCCATTAGCAGTGACTCCCCATTCTCTACCATCTCTGCTCTAGGCAACCACCAGTCTATTTTCTGCCTTTATAGATTTGTCTATTCTAGACATTTCATATAAGTGGAATCATATCATATATGGTATTTTTTGAGTAACTTCTTTTAGCATGTTTTTAAGGCATATTGTAGCATGAACCAGTAGTACTTCATTCCTTTTTATGATTGAATAATACAGTCCTGCAGCACTTAACAATGGGGATACATTCCAAGAATTGCATTGGTAGGCAGTTTTGGTTTTTTTTTTGGTGGCGGGGTACGGAGTTTCGCTCTGTCACCAGGCTGGAGTGCAATGGCGCAATCTCAGCTCTCTGCAACCTTCGACTCCTTGGTTCAAGTGATTCTCCTGCCTCAGCCTCCTGAGTAGCTGAGATTACAGGCACACATCACCATGCATAACTAATTTTTGTATTTTTAGTAGCGACTGGGTTTCACCATGTTGGCCAGGATGGTCTCGATCTCCTGACCTCATGGTCAGCCCTCCTTGGCCTCCCAAAGTGCTGGGATTACAGGTGTGAGCTACCCTGCCTGGCCGCAATTTTTTACTCATGTGAACATCACAGAGCGTACTTAGAGACACCTAGAGGGCATAGCCTACTACACACCTAGGCTGTATGGTGTAGCCTATTGCCCCTAGGCTACAAACCTGTACAGCAGGTTACTGTACGGAATACTTCAGGCAGTTATAAAATAGTGGTGTGTGTTTGTGTATCAAAACAGAAAAAGTACAGTAAAAATATGGTATTACAAACTTACGGGATCACTGTCCAAACTTTATGCAGTCTGTTGTTGACCAAAATGTTATATTATACAATGGTGTATTCTGTTATGTGGCCATACCATATTTTCTTTATCCATTCATCAATTCATGGACATACGGGTTATTTCTACTTTTGGGCTATTATGAATAATGGTCCTATGAACATACATGTACAAGTTTTTGGGTGGACATAATTATATATATCTTCGATATATAATGAGTGGAACCACTGGGTCATATGATAACTATAAAACAAAAAAATTTAAAGTTTACATTCAACTCATCTTCTAAGGGACGTTAAAAGTGATAAATTCATAACGCTGATAACACTGCATACAGCTTTTTTTCTTCTCTCCTATTTTTTCACCCCACCCTCATTTCATTATGAAAAATTCAGACATAAAAGTAAAGAGCATACCATAATATACCTACCACCGAAGTTTAGCAGATAATATTATACATTATTGGCTGGGTACGGTGGCTCATGCCTGTAATCGTAGCTCTTTTGGAGGCCACGGCAGGTGTATCCCTTGAGGCCAGGAGTTCCAGACCAGCCTGACCAACATGGCCAAACCCCGTCTCTACTAAAAATACAAAAATTAGCCAGGCATGGTGGCATGCACCTGTAATCCCAGCTACTCAGGTGGCCAAGACTCGAGAGTTGCTTGAACTTGGGAGGCAGAGGTTGCAGTGAGCCGAGATCAACAGAGCGAGACTGTCTCTAAATATAAATGTATATAAATATAAATATATATATATATAAATATAAACATACACATTGCATTATTTGCTTCATTTGTTTAATTTTTTTTCTGGAGAATCTGAAAGTAAATTACAAATAACCACTGCAGCTTACATCTCAAAAAAAAAAAAAAAAAAGACGTTTTCCTACATTGCTACAATCTTACGATTTCATTGCTGATGTTTGAGAGGCTGGCTTCAGTAGAGTGGTGGAAGTAGAAACTGGATTTTTCCTGACAAATACACATTCTTCAAAAACACATACACTGGGGTTGATAGTAAAATTAACACTACTACTTGTATGTCTTTTGTAATTTTTGGCTTGACTAGAACTGGATAATTTTGTGTATAATAATACTTTCAATTAATAATAGTTTTTAAAGCTTATTGATCTTTTATATCTTCATGAGCACCCTGTGGTCTTTGTGTCTGTGACCCAGGCCCACCCTCCCTACCTGAGTGACTTATTCTTACCTGGAACCCAAGCTTCTGACCACAGAATTAGCGCTCTCTTCCACTGTATCAGTTTTCTCACTCATTGTCTCTTATGTTTCGAAAGAGTTGCCTCAGTTGAGGAATAGCCCTGAAGCCTGTCCTTTCTTCCTCGTTTTTCACTGCTGCTGCCTTGTTGGAATCCTCCTCTCCTGTCTCAACTATCACAGTAGCTTTCTTTCTAATTGGTCTTCTTGCTTCTACTTTCTCCTGTCTGATGGGCAATCTGCTGCTTAATCTATATTTTATACTTTTACAGGTGTATACATTTCCAAATACTCCGACTGTCTTCATTCAAGACCATGGTATCATGGGAAATCTGGTTATGTTGTAATTTTTAATATAATTAAGGTAAAGCTTAAATGTGCTGTTACGTGATTTCCTTTTAAAGTTTAAGGTTATCTACCTTTGATATTCTCTGTAGATATTAGTTGAACATAGTTCTCACCAAAGTTAGCTATCCAAATTCAGGAAAAGCAAAACTATTTTTCCTTTTCTTTAAAAAGAAAACTTTGATTCATTTACTAGATTGTAAACTTTTTTTTAACTTCAAAAATAATAAAAGGGTATGCAGGGAAAAATCTTCCTCTCACCTGTCAGAGCTACTTTTTAAATATGAAATAAGAGAAAACAAGTAGCTGCTTATAAGGTGATGTGATTACACTTATAAAAGATGAATTTAGAAAACAACATTCATTGTCTAATTTAAATGGTCAATAGAATCTTTATTTTCTTTCTCCATAAGACATCCAGCTTCACAGCTTCATGTGCTACCTAGAACTGATGATGCCACAAATCCTTAAATGTCCTAAATGGTACTGTTAAGTGAATCGTGCAATTAGAATTTTCACCCAAACAGAAGGGAAACTGATTTTAGATGTGATTGGGCTTCTTGAGGACATTTCTGTGGTCTCGTTTTATTGTTTTTTTTTTTAGCTTTGTTACTATCTTAAATTCTTTGGTTATCAGCCTAGCACTAAATGACCTTTAATTAAAAAAAAAAAAAAAACAAGAGCCTGTGAATTCTTAATATTGTAAAGTTTGTTCTCAAAAAAGCGGAGGGAGAGGCCAGGCTCTGTGGCTCATGCCTGTAATCCCAGCACTTTGGGAGGCCGAGGCGGGTGGATCACCTGAGGTCAGGAGTTTGAGACCAGCCTAGCCAACATGGCGAAACCCTGTCTCCACTTTTTATACTAAAAGTATAAAAAAATTAGCCTGACGTGGTGGCGGGTGCCTGTAATCCCAGCTACTTGGGAGGCTGAGGCAGGAGAATCACTTGAACCTGGAAGGCGGAGGTTGCAGTGAGCCAAGATCACGCCACTGCACTCCATCCTGGGTAACAAGAACAAAAAACTCTGTCTCAAAAAAAAAAAAAAAAAGTGGTGGGGGAGTAACATTGCTTTGAGGTACAATCACTAGTTTTCCTCCCTTAATCTTTCTTTTCTTGCTCTGCGATGAGTGCTGCAGAAAGTATGCCTACTAATGCAGATAATAAGCATTTCGTTTTTTACTTAGATTATGCCTCAGCCTTGATTTCTTGCCACTAGCTGGAGATTGCTGTTTTGGCCTCTGTGCTCTCAATCTTCATTTTATTTCACAAAATCGAGCCGCACCCAGAACCATAAAATGTTTGATGAGGAGATGGTAGAGATGATTGGTTACTGATAAGTACTATTTACATTTTTTGGCTTGGTGGTTTGGCCTTTGGTGGGTCTGTAAATGAAGAGGCAGGACTTAAACAACAACAAAACATCTTCTTTTTTAAAAAGTAACTATATTCTTCTTATAAAAATTAAAATTGCCTATAGTCCCATATCCCATTTTGATATAAGTTAATAACATCTTGTGAACATTGTCTTATGTCATTGTATTATTCAAAACAGCTTTTAAAATCATTGCATATTTCATCATAATGGTAAACTTGGCTTACTTGCTTTTTATTTTTTTGTTTGTTTGTTTTTTGAGACAGAGTCTTGCTCTGTTGCCAGGCTGGAGTGTAGTGACACAATCTCAGCTCACTGCAACCTCCACCTCCCGGGTTCAAGCAATTTTCCTACCTCAGCCTCCCAAGTGGCTGGGACTACAGGCGCGCGCTACCACACCCAGCTAATTTTTTTGTATTTTTAGTAAAGGCAGGGTTTCACCATGTTGGCCAGGATGGTCTTGATCTCTTGATCTCATGATCTGCCCGCCTCGGCCTCCCAAAGTGCTGGGTTACAGTTGTGAGCCACTGTGCCCAGCTGCTTGCTTTTTTCTTTTTTTTTGGAGAGACATGTAACCCTTGATGGAGAGAACTCTGTAATGGAAAATACTGCTGACTGTTCAGCAACCAGGACCAGCTGCCTGCTAAGAACTTTGCTACATATTTGCTCCTTGTTAACTTGCTGGGCCCTGTCATAATAGAAGTATCTCAGTTTATAATTTACAACTGATCATAGTTCAGATTGGAAACTCATCTTTTGAAATTTTAGATTTTGTCCTCTTTTACATTACAGTCACCAAAGAGCCATTCAGTGACCGTAACATAAAAGATGGTGGGCTATAGTTTTTCTTTTAAGGAAATGGCTCTCTTAAATTTAGGGTGATTCGTATATTTCTTTGATATTGTGATAAAAACTATGGATATTTGTCTCAGACGCCCAAATGTCCAAAATTTTTGAGTCCATTTTTAAGGGTTCATGGATAATCAAAACTATTTTTGGCCTTAAGATAATTGTTTTTCTAAGAAGTATAGTTCTTAATACAGTTACTGTTAGGGGACACATATCTGCATCCTTGTTAGACTACTTCTAAATGAATCCTAGAGTAAAGGTTATTGCTATTCGAAGGCATCTGATTAGTTTTAATATTTTCATTCTAGGGAAAAGTCAAGTTTGTGTCTGAGAATTATACAACTAACTATACTAAGCCATCTTCTGGCTATGATTGCCACGTGTCTGAAAATACTAACAAGGTTTCTAACAAGACGAGTCATTTTCGTGCCTTTGAACTGAGTCAGGTATAGTTACCTGTGAATGAGTAACACCCAAGATATATTTCTGACTCTAATGTGTTAAATTTCAGGGCTCGGTGGGGTTGAGAAAAACTTGGTACATATGCAGTTCCATAGTGCTACCCTGATAATACTTATTTTTCCTCTTTCAGTATTACTTTTACGAACTTTCAGGCAACACCGTTATTGAACGACCCAGACAGATCTGTCCTTATGTAATTGTAGCTTTTCGATACAGGGAATCTAAAACTATGGCACCACCAGCTCATAAAAGCATGTAAGTAATTATGTGCATGCTTTGTTTTACTGAATTTGTTCCTTTTACTCTTGTAAACATGTTCTTTTTCTTTCTTTTTCTGCTAGACTTGAACGCAGTGAAAATGGTAAGAAATAGTTCATTGATTCTTTTAGGTTTTTTTTTTCTTGAGTAAATGTTTCATCATAAATAATCAGTTTCTTTTTTACCTTCATTTCTTCAGTTCTCATGTCTCCATGGAAAGGGAAATTAATTGTTCAAGACCGTATGCTATGTGATATAGCTCTTTGGTCCACTTACGGTGCAATGATTCCAACACAGCTGTAAGTATTAAATGTTATGTCCTTTACTAATGCTTATATTACAAGTTTTGGGGTTTTTTTTCCTCACCTCATTTCAAGGGTGGCATTGGTGTAAAATACAGCAACTGTTCTTGATTTTAGATGAGGGTATATTTGGGTAAATGTATAGCACACAGGGTATGACATAGTAAACCTAAATTCTAATTTATTAATGGGAAAATGACCTCTTGGGATAAATTAAACTATTAGATACTAGAAATTTGACCTTCCCCAAGAAATAAATCAGATTTGCCTGATAGCAAATATAGCAGATTATAGCCACTTAATCGTATTATTTTTATTAACATTTGCAGTATCTGATTTTCAAATTTTAACATGATTTTCTTAGAAAAATGTTAGAATAGCTGTTACATGTATTTACATTAAAAGCAATTATCATGATTAATATTTTCTCCTGGGGAACTGTGAAGAACATCTTAGGAAATCTTTTTGGTTCATCCTGTTCTTAGTTTGTACCCAAAACCATTAAGAAATAGTCATAGTTTAATTGAATTATAAGGTGAAAACTGATGTGTTGTGAGGATTCATTTTTTTTTTTCCTATCGGCCTTTTTTAAGAAGAGGTAGGAGTATAATAACCCACAACATAAAAATTATGTGAATAAGCAAATAGAGAAGGGAAAGTTCTTCCTCATTATAGAGTGCAACTAATAAATGTGGAAAGATTGATAAATTAGAAGATCAGCATTTGACAACACCATAATAATCAACCAGTGTGTGCTAAAAACAGGTGAAAGTTTAATAGTATTTGCATATCTTACAACATTTCCCCACTACTTGCTTATTAATCACAAAGGAAACAATGCAGACTTACCAGTGGAGTAAACTGGCAGATACCATCTTAACTCAGCAGTTAAGTTAATGATAGACCTATCCTGATTCAGGAGCATTCTGCAAAATCGTCTATATTTTTCAAAATACCCTAGTCATTGAAGTAAAGAAAAGACTGAAAAACTGTTCCAGATTAAAGGAGACTAAAGAGACGTGATTACTGAATGCATTGTGGCATCTTGGATTGGAAATTGTTTTCTTTTTTTGTGAAGGAACTTAGTGAGACAGTTGGCAGCATTTGAATAAGATGTAGGTTAAGTCATAGTATCGTTATCATTGTGAATGTGTTGATTTTGCTTATTGCTTTGGGGTTGTATAAGAAAATTTGCTAGGGGCCAGGCACAGTGGCTCCTGTCTGTAATGCTAGCACTTTGGGAGGCCAAGGCAGGAGGATTGCTTGAGTCCAGGAGTTTGAGACCAACCTGGGCAACATGGCGAAACCCTCTCCCTAATAAAAATACAAAAAATTAGCCGGGCGTGGTGGCACGTGCCTGTGATCCTAGCTACTGGGGACGCTGAGGCAGGAGAATCACTTGAACCTGGGAGGTGGAGGTTGCATTGAGCTGAGATCGCGCCACTACACTCCAGCCTGGGCGACAGAGTGAAACCTTATCTCAAAAAAAGAAAAGAAAAAATTTCCTGTTTAAAGGAATCACACAGAGAGGTATGTGACATAAAAGGGCATCAGGTTTGCATCTTACTCCCAAAAGGTTCAGAAAAAAATAATGCGTGTGTATAGAGAGAGAGAATGACAAAGCAAACATGGTATACTGTTAATATTTGGGAAATCTGGATGAAGGGTATTAAAGAGTTCTTTGTCCTATGTTTGCAACTTTTGTATAAGTGTAAAAGCATTTTAAAATGAGTTTTTAAAAAGGAAACAGAGTGCCGGGCACAGTGGCTTACACCTGTAGTCCCAGCACTTTGGGAGGCCGAGGTGAGCAGATTGCCTGAGGTCAGGAGTTGGAAACCAGCCTGGCCAATACGGTGAAACGCTGTCTCCACTGAAAATACAAAAATTAGCTGGGCATGGTGCGGCATGCTTGTAATCCCAGCTATTCGGGAGGCTGAGGCAGGGTAATCACTTGAACCCGGGAGTCAGAGGTTGCAGTGAGCTGAGATCGCACCACTGCACTCCAGCCTGGGTGACAGAGCCAGACTCCATCTCACACACAAAAAAAGGAAAAAGTAGTCAGGAAATAACTTTTTTTTTTTTTTTTTTTTTTTTTTGAGACGGAGTCTCGCTCTGTCGCCCAGGCTAGAGTGCAGCGGCACAATCTCAGCTCACTGCAAGCTCCACCTCCTGGGTTCACGCCATTCTCCTGCCTCAGCCTCCCGAGTAGCTGGGTGGGACTACAGGCGCCCACCACCACATCCGGCTAATTTTTTGTATTTTTAGTAGAGACGGGGTTTCACCGAGTTAGCCAGGATGGTCTCCATCTCCTGACCTTCTGATCCACCCGCCTCAGCCTCCCAAAGTTGCTGGGATTACAGGCGTGAGCCACCGTGCCTGGCAAATAACTCATAAATAGCATAATTTTTTTTAATTCCTTATTCCTGTATACATAATTTTTTTGACACATCTAGATACTTTGTCTGTACTGAAAATACATGTATTGAGAAGATGTGAACATATTTGCAGACCATGGTTTATGGGTCATATATTTGAAAATCTGTACTACTTAAAAATACACATATTATTTAACCTGGAGCTTATCAACTTAAGGTCTTTTTTGTGGTTATATTTTTGTTTACATTTATATTAGAAAACCAAAACTTAAGAAAATTTAGATCCACTGTTTATTATTCTGCTTGATACTGTTGTGTTGTTTTTCAGACCGCAGGAACTAGATTTTAAATATGTAATGAAAGTGTCTTCCTTGAAAAAAAGACTACCAGAGGCTGCCTTCAGAAAACAGAATTACTTGGAGGAGAAAGGTCTGTTGAAATGTAATAACACGCTACTTGTCCTGGGCTTTGTTCTGGTTATTTTCTGCTCTCTTCCAAACACTCACACATGCACACTTCTGTTTCATCATAAGTGACTCTTAAAAGAGTCTTTTGTAAGAAAGCTGTAGAGTTACTATTTTCTTCAGTTCCTTGGAGGCCAACTAGAAACTGAAAGGTAGTTTCATCTAAGATGACAAAGGCTAGCTTTAATATAGAAATACTGATGCAATTAAGCAAGCAGATATTAAAAGCATTTGGAAACTTGTAACTATTCCTCTCGAGGACAGAGTTTTTGTTGGTTTTATTTATAGAGGTACTTTTAAACTCAAAGAAAAACCATGAGAAGGAAATTTCTTGGTCATTTAGGTTAATTCATGGAGCACTGATGTTTATTCATGTAGTATTTGTATTTGTCTTGTTAATCCTATAGCAGTGTCAGTATAAATAAGAGCATTGTTTTAAAATAACTATTTTGGTGATGTTTTATGAGGGAGTTTTATAACCAAGAACAGTAAATGATAAAGGTTTCTGAGTAGTATTTCTATTCTTTCATTTTTGCAACATATAAAATGAACAAATTGACTGTAAGTACATAATAGCGTATTAAAAATAAGAAATGTTTTTCTGGTTTTCTCTACAGTCTGTTTTCAAGATTTGTGCTTCAATTTGTATGAGGTAGAACTGTCAAACAGACAAGGGGAAAATATAGATAAATTAACAGAATGTATTAAAAACAAGCAATTGGTAAGCATCACTAATTTAAAATATAATTATTATGTTTTTCTTTAATTGATATATATTAGTTGTGCCTAGATGGCACATATATATATATTATATATATATATAGATAGATAGATAGATAGATATAGATATAGATATATAGATATAGATCGATATAGATATATATTAGTTGTGCTGAAAGGAGTTTCATGTTTAATATTTATTTATATATTATTAATGTAATACAGTATCTGTGGGGTATATGTTCCAAGACCCCCAGTGGATGCCTGAAACTGTGGATAGTACTGAACCCTATGTATACTGTGTTTTTTTCTATACATGCATACTTATGATAAAGTTTAATTTATAAATTAGGCACAGTAAGAGATTAACAACAATAATAAAATGGAATAGTTACAACAATATACTGTAAGAAAAGTTATGTGAGTGTGGACTGTCCATCTCAAAATATTTTATTTATTATGCTATACTTGAGTACTCCTTGTGATGAATGAGGTAGGTGGTGCAGGCATTATGAAGTACTACTATTGCCCCAGAGGGTGGGTAGCATCTACAGCATAGATACACTGGACAAAGGGATGATTCACGGCCAGGCGTGGTGGTTCACGCCTGTAATCCCAGCACTTTGGGAGACCAAGGCGGGCGGATCACGAGGTCAGGAGATCGAGACCATCCTGACTAACATGGTGAAACCCTGTCTGTACTAAAAAATTATCTGGGTGTGGTGATGGGCGCCTGTAGTCCCAGCTACTTGGGAGGCTGAGGCAGGAGAATGGCATGAACCCAGGAGGCGGAGCTTGCAGTGAGCCTAGATCGCGCAGCTGCACTCCAGCCTGGGCGATAGAGCAAGACTCCATCTCAAAAAAAAAAAAAAAAAAAAAAAAAAAAAAAGATTGATTCACATACTGGGCAGGAGGGGCAAGAAGCAAGGATACAAAGTAGTGTAGTCCCTAAAGTCTGGCATGGTGGAACACATCTGTAATCCCATTACTTTGGGAGGCCAAGGTGGGAGGATCGCTTGAGGCCAGGAGTTTGAGACCAGCCTGGGCAACATAGCAAGATCTTATCTCTACCAAAATTAAAAAACTTTTTTTTTTTAAACTAGCCAGGCATAATGGCCTGCACCTGTAGTCCTGGCTACTCCGAAGGCTGAGGTGGGAGGATAGCTTGAGCCTGGGAGTTCAAGGATGCAGTGAGCTGTTACTGTGCCACTGTGCTGCAGGCTGGGTAACAGAGTGATACCCTGTCTCTTAAAGAAATAGGCTCTTAAATCATAGCTCCTGTAAGTCAAGGAGCTTAGGAGACTATGGAGGAGACAAATATGTAAGTCATCATGTGACATACAACACATAGGGGCTCTCATAGAATCTTGTTGAAACTCAAAGCAGTGATTCTTTTTGAGAGTGAGATATTAGTGTCATACCTTAATTGTAATGTAATAATTTAAAAAGTCTTATTTTGTATATTCATTGTGATTAAATAATATATTGATTTATATTTGTAGCCTTATCACCTCTCAGTTTTGAAATAAAATGTTCTGTAAAATGGTATATTTTATTTAGGTGGTTTAACTGAAAAATTATTGTACTAATATTGGATTTTATCTTTTATGTGTATATAGATTTTTGAAATGGTAAGCAGTGGAAAAGAAAAACTATTAAATTCATGATTTAGAACAACAGCTTTTAGACAACTTCTGCTGCCTGGGGACAAAACTGCCCCAGTTACTGAAAGCATTAAAATTTCAAGACTTTTTTCTTGAGCTCAAGAGTCCACTGAAGACTCTAATAGAGGGGAACAAAAGAGAGGAAGAATTTATTTTCATCTGTATTTCTTGTTGCCCTGGAACTTGATTATTTTCTGTTATTTTCCATTTCTTAAGATGCATAGAAAGAAGTATTCTATTGGATGGTATCTTGCAGTCTTTTTAGATTCAGCGTTTTGGGATAATTTTCATGTAAATATGAGCTTAAGATGCTACTTATAGGTTTGATTCATCGTGAGTTTATAATGACTACATGGTAACATATTGGCTGTTTAGGCAGTGGTATGAAATGTCAGCTGTCTCAGTGAAAAAAATAAGTCTTTTCTGATTGATCTGCCATGTTCTTGAGCACTGTTCTAAAACTAACCTTTCATGTTCTGGTTATTTTATATAGACCCAACAGGGCCAAGATTATTTCAGCTAAGGAACTTGAAGTTTCTGATACTGGGGACAGAATTACCCTGATTCCCATAACATTTGCAGAATTTTTTCTTTTCTTGAGGTCAATATTCACTAATGAGTATGGGTAGAGGGAGAAGAGAGGGATTGCAGAATATTCCTTCAGTTGAATTTTTCCTTTTTATTTAAGGCAATCATCAAATGCTTAGAAGATCGAGGGTTTTTCATTTTACTTACATCATCAGCCTTACTATCAGAACCAGGTATGGAGAACTGTTTTGGGAAAAAATATTTTTCATTATGTTTACTTTTGCTTTATAAGATCAACAACCTAACTTTTCTTCTTCTGATTCTCATTCTGCATAGATTTTGGAGGCAAGCAGATGGGTCTGCATGGGTTACATTTATTTCGTTCACCCCTGTCAACAGGTGAGGATACAATGGTTTCCAGCTCACTCTGTCTGTTGGATATATTTAGTCCTCATCTGACTTGACCTCTCAGCAGCACGTGACACTGTTGACTGTTTTTTCCTCTTAAATACCTCTTTTCTTAACATCACTGGTTCACCCTTCTTGACCTCCCTTGTAGGTTTATGCTTCCCTCTGAGCCTCAGTCCCATATCTCCACTTGTCTACTGACATTGCCACTGAGATATCTCAAAGGTGCCTTAAATTCAGCATGTCTAAAACTGAATTCATTTATTATTAAATTTTGCCATCGTCTCTCCTGTAAATATGTCTCAGAGTCTTCATAGGTGCTGTTCTCCTTATCTGGACCTTATCTGTTAGTCCTTTTCATATCAAGCCCATACATTTTTATTGTGATGTTGATCCACCCAGAGGACCAAAATTTGGCTCCTGGGGGCAAAAAAAATTACTCATACAGTGCATAAACAGATATGCAGTGTATATCTGGTATTAAAATTTTGGAGGTCAATATGGGGGAAAAATGACTCTAAGAGGGCTGGGAAGGAGGATGACTAAAAAGATTGAGAAACACTAATCTAGCTTATTCTTCCTCCTATCTGTCAAACTCGGCTTCACTATCACTTTCTTTGTTCCCGTCAACACTCTTTGCTCACCTTAGACTCCTATGCTTATTTATCATTCATATAGTTTAAATATTTATTTGTATAATTATTTAATGCCTACCCTTCTTGTATTCTACTGTATCCCTAGTGCCTAGCAATGCCAGGCACCTATAAAATAATAAATATTTGCTAAACAAATAAATAAATGAGAGTTGACCAGTCACGGCAGCTCACACCTGTAATCCCAGCACTCTGGGAGGCCGAGGCAGGTAGATTTCTTGAGTTCAGGCGTTCTGAGACCAGCCTAGGCAACATGTTGAGACCCTGTTTCTACAAAAAATAGAGAAAAATTAGGCGTGGTGGCTTGCACCTGTGGTCCAATCTCCTTGGGAGGCTCAGGTGGGAGGATCGCTTGAGCCCGAGACGTGGAGGTTGCAGCGAGCCAAGACTGTGTCACTGCCCTCCAGCCTGGGCAACAGAGTGAGACCCTGTTTCAAAAAAAAAAAAAAAAAAGTCACTTTGTTGTATAATCACAATGTGTGTGTTTAAACATAAAACTCTATATAGTATTTATAAAGCTATAACCAATATAAACATGTTTTTAAAGTTTTTTTAAAAAATTCAGTTACTGGCTAGGCAGGGTGGCTCACGCCTGTAATCCCAGCACTTTGGGAGGCTGAGGCGGGTGGATCACGAGGTCAGGAGATCAAGACCATCCTGGCCAACATGGTGAAACCCCGTCTCTACTAAAATACAAAAAATTAGCTGGGCTTGGTGGTATGTGCCTCTAGTTCCAGCTACTCAGGAGGCTGAGGCAGGGGAATCATTGGAACCCGGGAGGCAGAGATTACAGTGAGCCTGGTGACAGAGGGAGATTCTGTCTCAAAAAAATTAAAAAAAAAAACAAAACAATTCAGTTACTTGAAGCAGAACGCTGTGCTTTCCTAGGCATCACATCTTTGGAATAAGCAAAACATTACCCATGATAATAACATAATTGGCAGCGACCGTTTGCATTTTTCAAGCATTTATCATGTCAGGTTTTGTGGTGGAAGTAATGGACTTAGCAATCCATAAAATAAGTACTCCTATAACGATTTCAAAGATGAAGAAACTCAGAGTTGAACTTGTTCAGGGTCTAACAGCTAACTTCAGATCTGGCTCCTGTAAGATTTCTAATTTCATTTTATTTTATTTTTGTTTTTTAGTTGTAAACTATAAAGTTTCAGGTATTTCATTAAAAGATTTTAACAAAGCGCAAGTTTAAAATTCTCACATAAATATGATATGAACTTGCTAACTTTTTGCCTATATTTGTATCAGGTGAAGAAGAAAAAGAGTGGCCGGGCATAGTGGCTCACGCCTGTAATCCCAGCACTTTGGGAGGCCAAGGCGGGCGGATCACTTGAGGCCAGGAGTTGGAGACTAGCCTGGCCAACATGGTGAAACCCCATCTCTACTAAAAATACAAAAATTAGTTAGGTGTGGTGGCACATGCATATAATTCCAGCTACTCGGGAGACTGAGACACAGAATTGCTTGAACCCAGGAGGCGGAGGTTGCAGTGAGATGAGATCACACCACTGCACTCCAGCCTGGGTGACAGAGCAAGACTGAGTTAAAACAAAACAAAACAAAACAACAAAAAGACCAGAGCAATAACTTTAAAACAATTTGGTTTATAAAAACGTTGTGCCCGGAGTGGTGGCTCACGCCTGTAATCCCAGCACTCCAGGAGGCTGAGGCAGGTAGATCACTTGAGCCCACTCGTTCAAGACCAGCCTGAGCAACATGACAAATCCCATGTCTACAAAAAATACAAAAATTTTTATTTTGATATCTGGCCACATTTTCCTTTTTACTGTTATTTGTCCTTCATTTCCTTTTTCTAATAACTGCTTTAGTGCTAATGTATTTAACTAGAACTAACTTTGTGTTTCATTCTGAAGTTACTTTTCTTTAAAAAGAATGGTACAATTTTTATTTTCACTTACTAGGCCCTGAAGGCTGTTGTTTCTTGTGGCTTTATATTACTGACAACTCTGAAATTTTATAGGATTTTATTACCCAGTTCATAGGGACCAGACCTTTTCTCTTTTTTTTTCCCTTTTACTGTTTCCTTTATTCATTTTCAAAAAAAAGGAAAAATTAGCACTTCAGTCAAAGCAGGAGAGGAGGTGAAACATAGACTAGTCAGTTTTAGAAGTTTTTATTTCATTTGCTAGAAAAGGTGATAAAGTTAGCAATAATCATTCCAGTGAGATTCCAGCATTATTTAGGGCTTCTACTTTTTTCAGTTCAGTTGACTTGCACTAACTTCTGAAAAGAATTTGAAGTGAGTTCAGTAAGGTACAGCTACAGTAAAATAAATTTTAAAACAAAATAAGAAAAAGTACGAAAGCAAATCTGCCAGCTCTAAAGACCAGTGGTACTGCTGTGATGAACCATTGAGCTCATGAGCTCCTTGTTAGGTGAGATGGAGCTGGAGGCAGGGTTTAGTTTACTTGTTCTAACCTAGTGATTGCATGTCAGATGATTCTTTTTCAGTTCAGTGTGTGTGTGTATGTAATTTCAAGTATATGGAGATACATTTGTTAAATGTACCTCTAAGTCTTCTATTAATTGCCATTTAGGTTGTCATTTGAAATACTATAACATATTTAACCATCACATAATTTTGAAATCTAAAGCTTTTTTTTCCAGAATGTTTTGTTTTTAAAAAATAAACTTCAGATGTTTAATACGTGTGTATATATTCTAGGGGTGAAAGATTTGAAAGTTGAAGATGACATCTCAATGAAGGTGATACCTATTTTATCTACCCTTAATTGTGCCCTGCTAGAAACAAAGAAATCACTTCCTGAAGAAAGAATCCATCCAAACACATTAGTAAAGCGTCATTTCCAAGAATTGTACAAGGCGGACAGAAGCCCTTCATTGAGTGTTGCTCCTCAGGATAGAATGAAAGACCCTACATTCTTGGGGAAACTGCCCAGTGGTTTTGACTTGATTCCTCCAGCTGAAAAGTGCCCTTCAGAGTCTTTAACTCAGTTGAACTCTTATTTTTCAGACCCTAGTGCTTACATTTTGGAAGTGTCTACTGCTTTGGACTTGCTAGCAGAGCATCCTCAGTCTCCTTGTGTTTCAGACGGAATTTGTGATGCTGGATTTTCCTTAGTTATGACTCCAGATCCTGAATTTCTTGTCTCAGAGGCAGAAGTGAGAAAAGAAACTGAAACAAAAAAGGATTCTGAAGAAATGTTGAAAGCAAAGAAGAGAGTTTTTCCATTGAGTCCAGCGTCAAATCTGAGAGTGCAGCCTAAGAGGAAGGCCAGCATGCCCCACATGGTGCAGAGTAAAAAGGTGAACTTGTGCCGCCCCTTTCCCAAAAGAACTGCTTCCAGAGCAGACAACAGCTCGGACTCTCCAACAACTCTTAAGTTAGTTAAAGGACAGTTTCCTCAGAAAAGAAAAAGAGGTAAGCACGATTTATTTATGTGGGTTATTATAATAATAGTTGTGGCCAGGCGTTGGTGGCTCATGCCTGTAATCCCAGCACTTTGGGAAACCAAGTGGGTGGATCACCTAAGGTCAGGAGTTTGAGACCAGTCTGACCAATACGGTGACACCCTGTCTCTACTAAAAATACAAAATTAGTTGGGTGTGGCGGTGCGTGCCTGTAGTCCTAGCTACTCGGAAGGTTGAGGCACAAGAATCATTTGAACCCAAGAGACAGAGGTTGCAGTGAGCCGAGATCACGCCATTGCGCTCCCGCCTGGGTGACGAGCAAATCTCCATCTCAATAATAATAATAGTTGTTGTATTCGATCCCTCTGCTGTCTTGGTCCCTGTGGACTGCAGCTTTGCAGCATCAGTTAGAAGATTGTTAGAATCACCATCATTTCTCTCCAGGCAATTTGTGTGCCTCCTAATGCCTGACAAGCTCTGATTGAGATAGCAACTGAAAACCAAGAAATAGGAAAGACCAAGATACCTCAAAAGCCTACCCACCACCAACATGTTATGTTCCACATGTAAAACCACCCACACGTGTATGTTCCATTCTAAGAAAGACAACCATCTAGTTTCTGTGCCATCCTCTTCACAAATGGAGGTAGAAAAGGTTCTTCTAAAATCAGGCACATCAGTACCAGCAAACCGTGATAGCTGACAGCCTCAACACCTATCGAGAGGAGGGAAATGCCTGGGACCTCCAAAAGTAAAATAGTCTGGGGCAGAGTTTCTAATCCTTTATGTGTATCACAGAGTTTTTACGTGAGCACCTGGATTATTCGTGTGGTTTTGATGCTCCCTGAAAAATTGAGTGAGAATTAGAGTCTTGAGCTACTTAGTGTATTGGCAGATGTATTTCAGTGAACATAGCACAGCAAACCATATGACTTTGGCCTAGCCACTTAATGTATTGGCAAATGTATTTCAGTGAACATAGGACAGCAAATCATATGACTTTGGTTTAGAGTCATCTCAAATTGTGTTTTACTCTATTTTCTCTAAAAGAGTAGGGAAGTATATGGGTGACTCCTTTGGAGAAGAAGGCAGCACATTATGGCCAAGGGGCCACTCGGTTGTGCCTGTGTCGTCTCTGGCTGCTCTCATGCCGTGTTGGCAGAGCTGAGCAGCTGTGACAGAAGCCACATGACCTTCAAAGCTGAAAGTATGTACTCTATGGCCCCTCACAGAAAAGTTTGCCAAGCCAATCTGTAATATTTTGAATTTGGAAATGTTGGTGCCTAAAGAAGAAACGTCTAGGGTATGGTAATCCCAGGATTCTAAATAATTCAGAGTTTACCCTATGGAGTTTTTTTTGTTTGGAGTTTTCTGTTTTTGTTTAGAAACAGGATCTCTCTGTCAGCCAGGCTGGAGTTGAGTGACATGATCATAGCTCACTGCAGTCTCAAACTCCTGGGCTCAAGTGATCTTCCTGCCTCAGCCTCTGGAGTAGCTGGAACTACAGGGGTGCCCCACTAATTTTTAAAATTTTTTTGTAGAGATGACGTCTTGCTATGTTTCCCAAGCTAGACTTTGAACTGATGCTCCTGCCTCAGCCTCCCAAAGTGTTGGGATTACAGGCGTCAGCCACTGTACCCAACCTTGGTTTTATCCTGTGGCTTCATAAATAGTGGTTTCTGGCTTATTGTGGCTTGAGGAACGGGGTGGAGATGTGCGTACTTAGGAGGGTAAGTGGAAAGTATGGTAGTATAAAGCAGTGCACCAGACTATACAACTATCTGTAAAACAGATTCCAGGCCAACCATACTGTTCTGCATGAACCAATTTAAGGTATTGAATCAGTTATCTATAACTCAACATAAATTGTCACTGTTTCTCAGATGTTTTTAATTATATCCACTGTAAGAAATATGTTTGATATTATATTCCGGTACCTACAAGTTCATACATGACTGGAACAAAAATTTCAAAAAAAAATTATGTGTAATACAGTCTGATACCTTCTATTCTGTTTCATTTAAGAGTTCTGGGCTGGGTGTGGTGGCTCATGCCTATAATCCTAACACTTTGGGAGGCTGAGGCGGGTGGATCACTTGAGGCCAGGAGTTCGAGACCTGCCTGGCCAACATGGTGAAACCCCGTCTCTACTAAAAACACAAAAAATAGCCAGGTATGGGGGCACTTGCCTGTAATCCCAGCAACTTGGGAGGCTGAGACACGAGAATCTCTTGAACCTGGGAGGGAGAGGTTGCAGTGAGCTGCACTGCACTCCAGCCTGGGTGACAGAGCAAGACTGCATCTCAAAAAAAAAGAAAGAATTCTAGTTGTGACACATTGAATTTATTTTACAACCCACCAGTGGATTAATTGCATTCAGTTTGAGAAGCATGGTATTGAATGTTACATGTAAACAAAACAATCTATGCAGGATCACTTTGTTTCATTTTTCTTTTTTCTCCCAACACCTGGGAGTACTTGGGAATATCTTCCTTTTCTGTTTGTACAAATATTAGAAAGTTTCCCCCTGGGTCTTGGTTGTCTAATCTTTTTCTTTTTAATTTAGTCTTAACTGTTTTCCTGATTTATTTTTATTTTGCTCTTCCCTATGCTGAAGATTTTAGAAAATGTAATTAGAGTGTAATAAGAAGTCTTATTGTTAAAAAAAAATACGCTGCTTTAGTACTTATTAATATAATAATTTGGTAGGGAGGAAGATAATCAGACTTGAAATGTACAGCATTAAGATATTCTGAAAACATTTTTAAAACTATTCATTTCGCTAACCCCCAAAAGAATGAAATGAAATGGGTCTCCTTTTTTCTCCTACATTTCACTAACACTGATCAGTTTCTTAAACTGTTTAATATCATTTTTAGTGTCCTTAGTGAGAAGTAGCGTCTTCTGTATAATGTAATTTAAAAATATTTGCCAACATTAAATGTGTGATTATTTCATATGATATCTTTGAGGCTTAATTTTAACTCTTAAAAGATTGAAACACTTTCTGTTGTGCATTATAAGCAGGTGTTTAGTATTTCCTTTTTCTTCCCATCCTTTAGCTCCACCTTTAGCTATTTTTATGCCATGTGAGAAGCAAAGCAGAGCGCTTCTAAGAGACACCATTGTGTAAGATAGTAGATTTGTTAGAAATAAAACCAGGTGCACACTTTCCTCAGGCTTCCCAGAGCGCTTCTAAGAGTCATCATTGTGTAAGATAGCAGATTTGTTAGAAATAAAACCAGGTGCACACTTTCCTCAGGCTTCCCATCTTTTAAAAGATTGTTTTTCAGATGGTATTAAAATTTAGATGTTTACAAGTAGTAACGTAAAATATATAATATGGCTCTCCAAATATATTGCTGTCTATACAACTCTTCTCTGCAGTGTGGTTATAGTTTTAACCACTTCACCTTATGGAAGCTGTGCTGCTGTTTGTTTAAACAGAAATATCTATATCCTGGGGCTGTGATCTAGCATATTCAGTCTTACCTGTCACATTAGTCAGGAAAGGTTATGAAGATTTTTTTTTTTTTTTTTTTTTTTTTTTTTTGAGACAGGGTCTCACTCTTGCCCAGCCTGGAGTACAGTGGTGTGGGCTCCAGTTATCCTCCCACCCCAGCCTCTCGAATAGCTGGGACTATGGGCACATGCCACCACTCCTTGCTAATTTGTTTATTTTTTTGTACAGTGTCTTGCCATGTTGCCCAGGTTGGTCTCCTACTCCTGGGCTCAAGCAGTCCGTCCGTCATGGCCCCCCAACATACTGGGATTACAAGTGTGAGCCACCACTCCCAGCCCAAAGTTTTGTTTGTTTGTTTGTTTTTCTTTTTTTTTCAGTTGTTACAAAGTTATTACTCTGATCTTTTTCTTCTTCATCTGATAGGGATATAGGCAGACACTTAGCAAGTTCATATTATATTTATGTGAGAATGTTTAACTTTTGATTTGTTAAAATCTTTTAATTAAATACCTGAAACTTCATAGTTTATTCCCCATTACTAAAGTTACTGTCCCCAAAATAAAAACAAAACAAAACAAAAAATGGAAAAGCTATGCTAAGTATCTGGGCCCCTACCCCTTACAAAAATGATGTCTTTTCTACATAAGGTGCGGAAGTGCTGACTGCACAGTTTGTACAGAAAACCAAATTGGATAGGAAAAACCAAGAAGCTCCTATTTCTAAAGATGTTCCAGTGCCAACAAATGCTAAAAGGGCAAGGAAACAAGAGAAATCTCCAGTCAAAACTGTTCCAAGGGCTAAGCCACCTGTGAAGAAATCTCCACAAAAACAGAGAGTAAATATAGTAAAAGGCAATGAGAACCCCAGAAACAGAAAGCAGCTACAACCTGGTAAGAAATACTCTTCCTATAAATTTAAACACCCCAATACAGATCTAACAGAGAGTGCAAGATAATTTATTGAAATAGTGTAAGAGCAGTTGCAATGTCCCAATAATTTTTTCTGTGTTTTTCAGTTCAGACATTAAAAAAACTAAGTAAACTGGTTTCCTAATGTAAATAAATTAGGAAGGTACAAAAGCTCAAACCTTCAAAAACATAGAGCCTACTTTTTACTTTGCAAAAAGCCTGAACATGAATTGTCTACAAGCATTAAAGTATAAATGGCCTTATTTATGACTAAATGCAGAAGCAAGTAGTATCTGGCATTATTTTTCTAGACCATTATCAATTATAAAAATAGAAGATTATAAGTTTATCTAAAGGGAATTATAAACAGACTGTCCAAAACTGTCAGTAATCCAGAATCCTGTATTTAGTTTTATTTATTTAGAGACAGGGTCTCACTTTACAATCACTGCAACCTTGACCTCCTGGGCTCAAGGGCTCCTCCCACCTCAGCCCCCTCAAATAGCTGGGACTACAAGCACGTACCACCATGCTCAGCTAATTTTTTTGTATTTTTTTACAGAGACCAGGTTTTGGCCAGGCGCGGTGTCTCACGCCTGTAATCCCAGCACTTTGTGAGGCCGAGGTGGGTGGATCTTGAGGTCAGGAGTTCCAGACCAGCCTGACCAACATGGAGAAACCCTGTCTCTACTAAAAATACAAAATTAGCCAGGCGTGGTGGCACATGCCTGTAATCCCAGCTACTCGGGAGGCTGAGGCAGGAGAATCGCTTGAACCTGGGGGGCAGAGGTTGTGGTGAGCCGAGATCGCGCCACTGCACTCCAGTCTGGGCGACAGAGCGAGACTCCGTCTCAGAAAAAAAAAAAAGAGAGAGAGACGGGGTTTCACCATGTTGCCTAGGCTGGTCTTGAACTCCTGAGCTCAAGTGATCCTGCCTGGCTCAGCCTCCCAAAGTGTTAGGATTACAGGCATGAGCTACCATGCCTGGCTGAGAATCCTGTATTTGGTTTTAAAAGGCATTAATTTTAAAAGTAGTTTTACTGATTTAACTTTGCTTAAGTAAAGAATCAAGTTTAGTCACATGAACTGCTCCAGTTTTGTATTTTCAACTGCTAGATATAACCTCTGTACTAGAAAGTTTTGTTGTCACCTTAGTGAGACAAATACCAGCTTTCCTCCTGGATCTACTTTCCTTAATTTTTTTTCCCTTTGGTATTGATTTTTTTGTGGTGTGTGTGTATTTTTTTTGTTTTGTTTAACGGAGAGACTTCATTCTCTCCTATCTTTCTATGAGTTTTCTGTCTGGTTTTCCTGATTCTACTTTCTCCCTCATCTATTACTAGATGTTACTATCTCACAGAGAGTGAGAATTCAGAGAAAGAAATTGGATTGTTGTTTTGTTTTGTTTTGTTTTGAGATAGAATCTCACTCTGTCACCAGGCTGGAGTGCAGTAGCACGATCTCGGCTCACTGCAACCTCTGCCTCCCAGGTTCAAGCAGTTTTCCTGCCTCAGTCTCCCGAGTAGCTAGGACTACAGGTGCATGCCACCACGCCTGGCTAATTTTTGTATTTTTAGTAGAGATGGGGTTTAACCATTTTGGCCAGGATAGTCTCAACTTCTTGACCTCTTGACCTCATGCTCTGCCTGCCTCGGCCTCCCAAAGTGCTGGGATTACAGGTGTGAGCCACCACGCCCAGCCAGGTTTGTTTTTTTTAGTTTTTTTGTTTTTTTTTTCAACTTAAGCATACCCTGAGATTCTTTAAGTTTTTTCAGATTGTTTTATGACTGAAGATTTTTTTAAAAGCTCATCATGTCATTCAAAAACCCATATGCTGCAGTTTTGGCTTCCATACCAGATTTGAGCTCTTCTGCTTGTCCCTCTCGGGAGTTTATGGTGTGGCTGTACCTCCCCTCTCTGCGTTGTGCCTCTGCTGTTGCCACCGTGCTCCTTCCCCTGCGGCCCTCTGTGCCTCCCCCAGGCAACCTCTGCCCTTCAGGGGCCTGCAGCTAGATTTATCCCCACAGGGAGGCGTTTTCTCATGTTGTGACTGTAACTAATCTCTCACTTCTTTGGGATATTTGAGAACATTCTATAATTTAATTCATACTGTTTTCAATTCATCTGACATGTCTTGGTCCAATCTTTCCAATTTGTAAACATGAGAATAGGTAACATCTTGTGTTCCTAGCAGTGTCATTTGCATTCTTTGTACTGAATTGGCTTCAGATGTTTATTGACAAATTGATTAATGCGAGGAGGTATATAATTGCATACTGGCAGAAAAGTGAGCCCAGAAAATTTAAAGTTTCAAAATGTGTGTTCAAATACAGGCTGATTTGTATTGCAAATGTCTGTAGGTATTGTGCAGCCACATTCCAAGTTAACATTTTTGAATGACTACATTTAAATCTCTGAATTTTTTTCTTAAGCACCTATGTTAATCATTTTACTTCTTATACTTAAAATATCAACGTTTAAGAAGGCAGATGAAACATAGCCACATTGACCTCAGTTTGCAAATTACTGATTTAAATTAGAATCAAATGATAATTTTGAAGTCAGACAGTCCTTTTGTTAATGAAACATGATTTTCTGTCCTTTTTATTCACTGAACTTTTTTTTAATGTAGTTCCTTTGGCATTGTCTTATGTATGTCTTAAATAGAAATTATGGGTGGTGTTTTTTTAATTGGGAACCTGTAACACGTTAATAACTGGGTGATTTATGTGAGACTATAATATGTTAAACTACCATTTTTCTTTATTTTAATACAGTATCTTTTATATTAGGCCTTACTGGTAAGTAATATTTTGTGTAAGGGATAAGTAGATGGAGGCCATAATATTAACAAAGAATGAAATTAGCATCAGATCACAAAATTAATTTTATGTTTCCAGTATACCTGTGGGACTAACAAGACAATTATCTGCTTTGGGTCCTTTTCATCCACCTGTCCCCTTTGAGTTTGCTGTTTTAAATAAAAACTGGGCAGTCGTTGATCAGTTTAACCCTTTCCCCATGTATGTGCATGCCCTTGTCGTTCTAATTGATGACATCATAGGCTGGAGCTGTCTTCTCTTTAAATGTGTTACTCATTGGCCTTGGCTGGCAGGTTGTTAATTCATTTTGGACCTGCTACTATGATAAAGAGGAACATAGTTGGCTTTTCTGGTCATCTGTCTACCTGCAGCAGGGAATCATTGCCTAGCAGAGTTGTGAAGTTTATCCTTCATAATAACAGCATTTAGGAAGGAATAATGAATACGTTGAAAATACCAAGGGAAACCACTGGCAAATGTAAATGTTCTGATTAAGGGCATATGGATAGATTTGATTATCTGTAAAAGGGAACATTGTCAGTAGATTTGCTCTTTCTTGGATAATGTAAAAGGTCAATGTTTTTGGTAATGAAAGTAAAATTTTAAAAGGTAATGGAATTAATTGATGATTCTGAATACTCTTAGGACTTTTCTAATTTTTTATTTCTATCACATCATGTAATTAAAGATCAATATAGTTAAAATCATTTGAACTTAGGTAGTTTCTCTAATAAATCGCTTGTTCAGGGAAATGGTTCCTGAGAAAGTATGTTAGCAAACTCATACACACTTGAAACTTCTACATTCCTGTCCTTATTAGATTGTAAGCTCCCAAGGGCAGGACTCTCATCTTTTTTGGGTTTTTTTGTTTGTACATTTTTTGAGCTGAGCTGTATGTCTTCTGTGTAGATCAGTTCATATGTTTTTGAAGGATAATTTCTTTCTAAATTAATGTACACATTCCTTAAGACTTGTCCCTCTGGTTTAACACATTATAATCTGAGGGTTGAAAGAGACCTTAATCCAATAGAAAATTTTAATATGCAATATGTATAACATAAGTTTTATCTGAGGGTTGGAAGAGACCTTAATCTAATAGAAAATTTTAATATGCAATATATGTTACATAAGTTTTTCTCAGACATGTTGAATTAACCATCATAGTAATATGGCAGAGAGTTAATTCTATGACAAGCAAACATCTCTCTTTTTTTTTTCTTTTATACTGAAGTCAAAGGAGAAACTGCTTCAAAGCTTCAATCAGAAATTTCAAGAGGTTGTCAAGAAGATGGGATTAGCATAAATAGTGTTCAACCAGAAAATACCACAGCGGCTCACAATGATCTTCCTGAAAACTCCATCGTCAACTATGACTCCCAGGCCCTAAATATGTTAGCCGATCTAGCATTAAGCTCTGCTACTTCTTCCACACCAGTATCTGAGGCTAGAAATCTTCACTGTTCCTCTGAATTGCCACAAAATGATGTTTTGCTCTCTAAAGAAAATTCTTTGCGAGGTACATCTGACCATGAATATCATAGAGGAGTTAAAACTCAAAAAGGTGAATTACTACCTAACCCATCTTCTGATAGGAAGAGTAATTCTGGATCAGACTTAACAGTTAGCCAAGATGAAGAAAGCTTGGTTCCTTGTAGTCAGGCCCCTGCTAAAGCCCAGTCAGCACTTACTGAGGAAATGCTAGAATCTTCAGATGCAAGCCAAAGCTCTTCTGTTTCTGTGGAACATTCATATGCCCTGCTCCTTACAGAACATTCAAAGAAACATCTACAGGAGAGAGAGATACTAAGCCCTCTGTTTCCCAGGAATGGGACAAAAAGCCCTGAAGCAGCAACCCCAGTGGGGAAAGTCATGCCATTTCGGCATCAGCCCGGCCTTTTGCTTCAGCAAAAGCCTCCTGACGACCCCGTGGTGAAGCCCAAGGATCGACCACCGTCTGCCCGTGTGAAAAAATCTTCTTGCTCTCGTATAGTGCTTAGCTGTGATGACTCCGTTAAGATCACTTTCAAATGTGAAACAGAATATGCATTCAGTTTAGACAGCAAATATACCAACAACCCACTGGAGAAAACTGTAGTAAGAGCATTACATGGGTGAGTATGAGTGAAACTTAGTGAAAATGGATGAAACTTTTCTGTTGAGATGAATGTAGTGAGATGGGGAAACTTATGCCAAACTCTGGAGAAGGAGAAAGAAGTGTTGTGTTTAAAACCAGTAATTTGATAATAACATCAAGCAAACATGTTTCCTGGCAATTAAGAGTAACAGGCTGGTTTTCCCCCTGTGCTCATGTGGAGAAGTTTTTAAAGATAATTTTAGCCTAATGAATAGCTTTCCATTTTGCAATGCTCCCTCGTAAGCCCTTGTGGCTTTTGAATTTCAATTTTTAGATGAGATCTTAATGTAAAATAGTGTGAGATTTAGAAATAATGCTTTACAGACTGAATTCCAGAAGAAACATTTTAAAAATCACTGTAGCTTGGTAAATTGGTCAGATTGATAGGAGTAAGCAGTTTCACATAAGATTGTTCTATAGATCTCCCTTAAGAAGGAATCAAGTCAGTAATAACAGAGTGGTGAACAGCACAGGCTTTGGAGTGTAGACTAACCTAGATTTGAACCCGGGTTCTTTCCCTTTCTTACCTCCTGTGATCCTGGGCAAGTTTCTTGCTTCTGGACAGTGCTTCTTAATTGTGTGTGCTGCTCATCTAGAGATTTCACTGAACTGCAGATTTTGATGCATTCTCCTTGGGAGAGGCCTGACATTCTGCATTTCTAACAAATTTTCAGGTGATATCAATGGTGGATGACAGTCTGTGGCCAACATTTAATTATGTAGCTGTGTCCTGAGGTTACATATATTGAGATGCACAGTGACTGGCCAGTAGTAGTAATAAATGGTAACCATCACTGTTAGCAAGCATTCATTAGCTATATGAATTGACATTCAGCTCCCTATTAATGAACTGTTTCACATCTGACTATATGGACTCTACAGCTGTCAGGCTTTCTTCTATACACCTGTTCATATATACTCATAAGGGTCATTTCCTTAGAACTTCCTGTTTAGCTATTGCCCAACTCTGCAGCCCCCCTGACTTATGGTACTCCAGCGATCTGCCATCCTTTTGCCTGCCAGGTGGCCAGAAATGTTTTCTATTTCCCCTTACTGTTTCAGGATATTTTGCAGAACTGTAGTCTGAAAATAGTATAGTTCTGTTGAATTGCCCAGAGAGATATTTTATCTTCAGACTTTCTCAATTATTAGAAGAGAGACACAAAAATGGAAAATAAATGAATCAGCCAGACTTAGCAAAAGCATGGTGATGAGGATTTGGGTATTGGCGAAACCATTTCTATAATAAGTATTCTGTGTCCAGAGTGAATTTGTATGGTGTAAAAGACACGTGCTACCCATGTTCAGATCATGGTTCTGCCATACAGGTTTTGTGATTTGAAAGAAGGCAATTACATGTTCTGATTCTCAGTTCCCGTCTCTGTAAAATGAGTGGGTTAGATGGATAATTATTTGTTAAGTCAACTACATATTTACTCATTCATGTTTCATATCTGTAAATTTTAAAAATAAAAACAAAAACTAAGGAATATTGGAGGCACTTGCTTATGATAAGGTAATCAACTAAAATAACCATTTTCAATGATTTTCATGTGTTCTTTCTGTAAACTCTTAGGCCCTGGAATACTGATTTGCCTGATAATGTGGAAGAAGTGAAGCTTTTACTTCATATGTGGGTAGCTCTGTTTTACAGCAATCAGAACAAAATCATACGATCTTCCCGAAAGGTTGTAGAACACAGCAACCCAGCAAAATATGTGTCTATAAATAGCACGTTAGAATCTTGTGAGCTCCGTGAAATTGAGGAGTCCCTTGGTTTGGAAAAATGTTCTGCAGACTCTCTGTTGGAGACTAACGAAATTTCCAGGGCTCATGCTGCTGAAGTATCCTTCCGTGATCCTAACTGCTTGCTTCCTTTCATTAAAACACCACTTACCCAAGGCTTGGAACTCTGTGTACAAAATGAACAGAAAAAAACTTTTGCAAGAGAGTGTGATCCAGACACCCAAGAAGACCAGAATTTCATCTGTTCTTACAATAATGAGGTATGTAAAGCTGAATACCGTTAAATGTTGGCATTATTTTTGAAGAAAAAAATGTTTATATGTAAAATCACATTCAAAACAAGGCATTTTTAAATTTTAGGACAGTGAATTCTCAAGGTATGTAAAGAACTATTACACCAAAAACCTAGTTTTCATGAAGTGTCCTTGAATTGTCTGCAGGTAGAGCTTACCTGCCATCCCGATTGAAAAAAACCAGAGTAGAAAAATGTCACAGGGTCCACATGATCTGGGAGCCCAGCATAATTTGGGGCAAATTGCTTCTTTGCCTAATTTTTAAAAGAGGTGACTTAATACCTATCAAGTCTTATGTAGAATATTGTTTAAGGATCAAATATAGCAATAATAAATCTTAGATATACTTTGATAAACCTTAAAGTAAACTAAAATTAATTGTATTAAAATTATTTTTGAAGACAGATGCTGGAATAGTAAAATGCCAGACCTGTGAAAGAAGACCCATTGCAAATAACTATTTGTAAATATGGAAAATATACTTTGTTTTGTTCCTTGTTCTCAACTGACATTCAACCAGGCCAGATAATCCAAATTTTACCTGGAGCAAATCTAAAAGTTGTTAACAAAATTCTAAGCAAATGAATTGACAAAATTACCTACCTTTTAAAGTTTTCCGCCCAAATTTATTCTAGAATAATATTGCTTGGGTTTGGGCAGCATCTCTGATTCCTGTCTTAAGAAAGAGTAGACAGTGTTCCTATACCCGGGGTCACCGGGGACTTGGAGGTCCTTGGGTGAGCCTCATAGAACCCGTGAATATCTTCAAGTGATTGTCATCATCATGAGAATTAAAGATTTCTGGGTCACTGTGTGCCAGAAAGTAAGAGTTCTAAGCCCTTCACTCATATTAACTCAGTTCATTCTCAAATAAGTTAAAGACTATTAATCTCCCCATTACATAGATGACGAGACTAAAGCATAGAGAAGTAAAGAAATTGCCTAAAGTCACATAGAAAATTGTCAAGCCAAGATTCCAGTCTAGAAAACCTAAATGTTAACTATGTATGTGCTTTTTTTTTCCCCTAAAGATGGGGTTCAGCAGTTCCATCCTATTCTCAAAGAATTACATAAAATCCAGTTAAGAATCACCACCTTAGAATAAGAAAATATAGTCTAGTCAGGGAGATTTAAATTAATACATATATACATGCTAGTTTCTTATAAAATACCATTTGTCGTGGTAATATGTAATTAACTATCATCAGTACTAATTTTAGCAATGATTTTGGCAAGCCTGACTGTTCAAATCAGTGATTCCTAACAATCTCCTTAGTATGTACTTACGTAGGCTTTTGTTTTTTTGTCATCTTGTTGAATGCTGTGCCTGTACTTGAAAGGCACACGTGTGCTATCGCACTCCCTCCACCAGTTGGCACACTGGAATGTGAAGAAGAGGATTCTAGCATGATAGGCACTAGAAACCAAAAGCATGTTGCTGCTAGTCATGTGTTGAGTTGAGCACTCTTTCTGAATTGTCAGACTTTATTTTAGAAGCATTACACTTTACCTGTAGTAAAAATATATCGAAATAGAAATATATCAAGATTGTCACTATTTGCATTTCACTAAGACTACAGTCATGGTGAGATTTAGGACTGAGGCTAAACGTTACCAGCCACATGATTGGGAGGGCCATTAAAGTTCTCAGAAGGACACTGACTCTCAAGACTTTTCTAATACTTTGTTCTCTTAAAACTCTGTTGTCTCAGCCCCACACTGTTGACTCTGTTTTTTTGTTTTGTTTTGTTTTGTTTTGTTTTGAGAAGTCTCACTCTTGTCTCCCAGGCTGGAGTACAATGGCACGATCTCGGCTCACTGCAAGCTTCACCTCCCTGGTTCAACTGATTCTCCTGCCTCAGCCTCCCTAGTAGCTGGGATTATAGGCGCCTGCCACCACACCTGGCTGATTTTTGTATTTTTAGTAGAGACAGGGTTTCACCATGTTGGCCAAGCTGGTCTATAACTCCTAACCTTAGGCAATCCACCTGCCTCAGCCTCCCAAAGTGCTGGGGATTACAGGCGTGAGCCACTGCCCCCAGCCAGAAATGGTTGGTTGGTTTGTTTGTTTTGTTTTGTTTGAGACAGAGTCTCGTGAGCCACTGCTCCAGCCAGAAATGAGTTTGTTTGGTTTGGTTTTTTTGAGACTGCAGCCTCCGCCTCCCGGGTTCAAGTGACTCTGCCTCAGCCTCCCGAGTAGCTGGGATTACAGGTGCATGCCACCACTCCTGGGTAATTTTTGTATTTTTAGTAGAGACTAGGTTTCGCCATGTTGGCCAGGCTGGTCTCGAACTTCTGGCCTATAGTGATCCGCCCACCACAGCCTCCCAAAGTTCTGAGATTACAGGCGTGAGAAGCCGTGCCCTACCTAAGACAGAAATGTTTTTAACAAGAGATTTGGAACACAGTTCCTGATTTCCAACATGTATGCTTCAAGACATGGCACGCAGTTTGTGAGCATGGTGTTCCCAGCATTGCAGAGGGGTGTGATCAGTTGTATAATCAGTTCATTTTATTATATGCTCGACAAGGCCATGCTTGAGGCTTTAAATAAAACAAAAAACAAATACCACCCTGTTTATGAGGTTATGAGAACTGTCCTGAGATGATAGCTCTGCTAATGTTTAACCTAAATCCTGCTTGCTACTGTTTAAATCAGTGCCTTTAGTTCAGTTTATGATTGCAAACTGCATTGATAAAGTTTTCAATTGCCATGTACAATAGGTATTCAAATGAGAAAGAATCTCCAGTTTCATGCAAAGAAGATAGCTAAGGGATGAGGGGCCTTTGTTGACTAGAATCAATGTATTCTGAGTACAGGGGGTAGTAATTAATTTACTCTGTTGCCTCATGGGAAAGTTTCAGATGATGGTGTACTTATGGTCTAATTGAAAACGGATGTTAAAAATGTTATTTGCTTTTTAAAAATTATCTTTTAGGCTGGGCACAGTGGCTCACACCTGTAATCCCAGCACTTTGGGAGGCCGAGGTGGGTGGATCACTTGAGGTCAGGAGTTTGAGACCAGCCTGGCCAACGTGGCTAAACCTCATCTCTACTAAAAATACAAAAATTAGCCGGGCATGGTGGCATGTACCTGTAATCCCAGCTACTCGGGAGGCTGAGGCAGAGAGTCACTTAAACCCGGGAGGCAGAGGTTGCAGTGAGCCAAGATCACTCCACTGCACTGCAGCCTGTTCGATAAAGCAAGACGCTGTCTTGAAAAAAAAAAAATTAATCTCATTTATTAAAAACAAAATTGAATGCTTTTTCTCTAGTGCTACACTTCTGGATTAAGCGGTGCTAAGTAGCAAACAGGCTGCATTTAAAGTCTTTTAAATTGTCAGTGGTCTAGTTATTTTTCTTCCAAAAAGCTTGGAGCTCTCTTCTGTGTGTGGTTTTAAAGAAAACAAATCCCACTGGGGGGTATTTTAAGTCTGCCTTTAAAAGAGGGACTTGCTTGATTTGTACCCTGTGATATTCTTTTAGCTAGAAAATTCAGAAGAACATTCACAAACTAAAATTAATTTTTATCTTTTCTGTTCTTCACATGTACATATAATCGTATAAAAAACATTTTATATGACTGATTTTTTTTTTTTTTTACTTTGGCCGTTTCAGGTAACTGGGGAAGAAGCTAAACAAGAATCATTGGAGACTTCTAATCTTGTGCTTTCGGGTATTGGAAGTACACAAACTAATGGACCTTCTGTTCCTAGTGAAGAAGAAATTGTTCAGCCACTGGATAGCACAAGAGTGGCTTCTTACAGTGGCACTGTTACTCAAGCCACATTCACCAGGACTTACGATGGGCCTGGCAGTCAGCCAGTGATATGTCAGAGCTCTGTGTACGGCACCCTTGAAAACAAAGTGGATATTCTTGATGCAGCAGTGCAAACAAAAACAGGTACTTTACAGGACCTTATCCAACATGGCAGCCCCATAAACAATGAATGTCACCCTTCCTTGGAAAGAAAGGATGATAATATGGGGTGTGCAGTGATTAACCCGGAACCAATTACTCTCACCTTTGAAAAAAATGCACATGTACCAATACAGACAGAAGGTGTAAATACTGCTGATGAACGTACAACCTTTAAGAAGGAGTTGATTAAGCAAGTATCACCTGCTGCAAGCCTTAGACATCCTGTATCCACCTCGGAAAATGCACGAACACAAGGCCTGAGGGACATTCCCTCTCTAGTAGTTGCAGGACAGAAGGGCACTAAGTACCTTTGTGCCTCGTCAGTAGGTGGAGAGACACTTGATAAAGCAGTGTGTTCATTACAGAAGGAGACGCCCCTTCCAGTCTCTCTACCATCTGATAAAACAATGGTCATGGAGGCACTATCATTAGCTAAAAGTTCTAGTCATCTATCACCCAGTGAAGAAGTGAGATGCACTCAGGATTTCCTTTCACAGACTCAGAGTCTCCTCGGCCTATCTTCAGAAGGGCTTCTAGAACTGACACAGGTTGAAGTGGACTCATCATCAGCCTCTACCACCTTGGGAAGGCAGTGTTCACTTAACTGCATTTCGTCAGGATGCCACACATCAGGTGACTCTTTAGAACTAAGGAAGAATCACAAGAATGGTCCAAACACTGAAAATATGAATTTGGAAGCGTTTGATTCAGTATTTATCAAACAAACAAGCCTGTCTGTGAGTAGAGAGGTCAGCCTAGAGTTATCAGAGGAAGATTCTGACATTGACTTAGCTCTAACAATATCACCACCTACAAGTCCCAGAGAAGAAATGCCAGCTGGTGAAATAGAGCAATTTGAGGAGGCCCCATTCTCAAATTTAGAACTTCAGGATGTAGCTGAGGAAATAGGTGAACCGGAAGAGGTGGCTCTCACAGAAAGCAGAGAAGTGAGTTCTGCTGACAATGTGTCAGTATATCCCTCAGTGTCAGAAGAACCAGTAGAAAATAAGGAGAGAAAGGGGGATAATTTACAACCAGTTACTTTAATACTTTCTAAAGAAAATTGCACCCTTGAGATTGCAGAGGAAATTAATGTGACCTCTGATTTTCCCTTTGATTCTGTAATTGAAGAAGTATCACCAGCGTCTAGTCCTGAACCTCCAGTACCAGTTAAAGAGACACGACCATATCAGGCTGTGACTCCATGCATTTTAAAACTTCATGGTACACAGTGTGAGAAGAGCAACCAAATCTCCCAATGTGAGTCAGAAGACTTAGGCATAACAGAAAAAGAAAATGTTTTTGTTGGTCCTACCCATCCAGTGGGGCAAGATAACTTTACCCAGGTACAACAAATGCAGGTCTCTGCCGAAATGCCTCTAATATTAACTGATCATCCAGGAAGAACAGGTAGACCAACCCTTCCTGGTAAAGTAACTGAGGAAATTGTCTCAAGTGAGCATGATGAGGGTTTATCTTTCTCAGGAAAGGTGCAGTGCTATGGTAGGGAGTTAAACCAGCCTGCCTCAGCTGCCAAATGCACAGGTGACTTCAGTCCTTCTCCTGAAAAACTGGTAAAATCAGGAAATCCATTGCAGCCAGTTAGTATAGAGAATAGAAATTTGGACTTAAAACATCTTGTCTTGGAGTCCAGTGAACCTCCATTTGGTCCTAGAAATGTTATTGAAAATAAGTCTTTGTCTGACACATTGGTTTCCACAACTGCACCAAGTGGTATAGTGAATGTGTCAGTAAAACAGCAGACTAGCCCTAAAAGCAGTCAGAACCATCTCTTTCCCGGTGATTTGAAAACAGATGAAGGCATTTATCTGCAGGTGAAGTCCTTGACAGCTGCCTCGGTTGATGGAGCTTATTCTACACAGGGATGCATGTGCTCAGTGGTCCCCACGCTTTGTTCTTCCTCAGACAATGCTACATTAACCCATTATGTAAGACCAATAAATGCAGAGCCAGTGTTTCAAGCACAGGAAATACCAGCAGGCAGAATGGCCAGTTTGCTTAAGAATGGTGAGCCTGAAGCTGAGTTACATAAAGAAACCACAGGTCCAGGCACTGCTGGCCCTCAGTCCAACACCACATCTTCTCTAAAAGGTGAACGCAAAGCCATCCACACGCTGCAAGATGTGTCAACATGTGAAACAAAGGAGCTATTGAATGTCGGGGTTTCCTCCCTTTGTGCTGGTCCCTACCAAAATACAGCAGACACCAAGGAAAACCTCAGTAAAGAGCCTTTGGCCTCCTTTGTTTCAGAATCCTTTGATACTTCTGTTTGTGGAATAGCCACAGAGCACGTAGAAATTGAGAACAGTGGGGAGGGGCTCAGGGCTGAGGCTGGTTCTGAAACCCTAGGCAGAGATGGAGAGGTCGGTGTGAATTCCGACATGCACTATGAACTCTCTGGAGATTCTGATCTAGACCTGCTTGGTGATTGTAGAAATCCCAGACTGGATTTGGAGGATTCTTATACTTTAAGAGGTAGTTACACCAGGAAAAAAGATGTTCCCACAGATGGCTATGAGTCGTCGTTGAACTTCCACAACAACAACCAAGAGGACTGGGGCTGCTCTAGCTGGGTTCCAGGCATGGAGACGAGCCTCCCTCCCGGGCACTGGACTGCTGCGGTAAAGAAAGAAGAGAAGTGTGTGCCGCCTTACGTCCAAATCCGAGATCTCCACGGGATCCTCAGGACTTACGCCAACTTCTCTATAACAAAAGAACTCAAAGATACCATGAGAACTTCACACGGCCTGAGGAGGCACCCGAGTTTCAGTGCAAACTGTGGCCTGCCCAGCTCCTGGACAAGCACTTGGCAGGTGGCAGACGACCTCACCCAGAACACTTTAGACCTGGAGTATCTGCGTTTTGCACATAAACTAAAACAGACCATAAAGAATGGGGATTCTCAGCATTCTGCCTCCTCTGCCAATGTCTTTCCAAAGGAGTCACCAACCCAGATCTCCATTGGTGCTTTCCCTTCGACAAAAATCTCTGAGGCCCCATTTCTGCATCCTGCACCTAGGAGCAGAAGCCCCCTTCTGGTAACAGTTGTGGAGTCAGATCCCAGACCACAGGGGCAGCCCAGGAGAGGCTACACAGCCAGCAGTCTGGACAGCTCTTCCTCTTGGAGAGAGAGATGTAGTCATAATAGAGATCTTAGAAATTCTCAAAGAAATCACACTGTTTCATTCCACCTCAACAAACTGAAATACAACAGTACTGTGAAGGAATCTCGGAATGATATTTCACTTATTCTCAATGAGTATGCTGAATTCAACAAGGTGATGAAGAATAGCAACCAATTCATTTTCCAAGACAAAGAGCTAAATGATGTTTCTGGAGAAGCCACTGCTCAAGAGATGTATCTGCCTTTCCCAGGACGGTCAGCCTCCTATGAAGACATAATCATAGACGTGTGCACCAATTTGCACGTCAAACTAAGAAGTGTTGTGAAAGAGGCTTGTAAAAGTACCTTCCTGTTCTACCTTGTCGAAACAGAAGACAAATCATTCTTTGTAAGAACAAAGGTAAAGTGCCAGCCACGTCTTACGTATTATTTTAATTGCTGATTTTAGTTTTAGAAATAATAAATTTAGCATATTAGCCATCAAAAAGAAATCATGGTATGACATAGTATTTAAATTTCACAGCTTAGTCTTTATCTGCATACTAAATGTTTTCCTGCAGGATCTGCCATTTGTACTATATTTGAAAATTAGTATTATGTTCCAGAATTAGGGCAATGACTAATTTTTTTTCACAAAAAGTTACCAGTGTAGACATGCCCATACTTCAAGTGTAAATACAAACACATTCCGATGTTAAAATACAGATTTTTTGAAAAGTGGTTGTAGATTGTCCGTTAGTGTGGGTGGTCAAGTAGGACCTCTTTTGGTTTTGGATATATTTTTAATTTGAATTTGAATGTTAGGATAACTGATGTTACGGTGAGTACATGGAGTACATAGTCCTTAAATTTAAGTAATGGAACCATGGTGAAATTCTGGCATGGGCGGAGCCTGTCTTGATTGAACCTGTCTTGATTCACCATTAACTTCATTGTTTTATCCTCCCAGAATTTATTTCTCTTCTATTTCGGGCATAGACAGTATTTTTAAAAATTTAATTGTTTTTAATTTCAAATTTACATAAAGGTTGCAGAAATAGTACCCTTTACCCAGATACCCCAATATTAACATTTCTGAACCATTTGCAAATGTGTTGCACACACAGTGTCCCATTACCTCTTGATACTTAAATGTGTATTACCTGAGTTCAAGGATCCTCATCTTTTTAACCACAGAACAACCCTGTGCATCAGGAAGTTCATATAATATTAATTAAAGTGACCATCTCCATTAACCTCATCTAGGTCTAGGATCATAGGTGTCTAGAATTGTCATGTCTTCAGTCTGCAATAGTTCCTCTGTTATTCCTTGTCTTTTATGACCTTAACAGTTTTGAAGACTGTAGGCCAGTTATTTGGTGGAATTTCCTTCCGTTTGTGTTCATGTGTTGTTTCTCCATGACTTAGGCATTTTAGATGAGAATACTCAGATATCATGTAGTGCTCTTGTCAGTGCATTCATTGTATCAGGAGGCACCCGATGTTGATTTATCCCCTTACTGGTATATTAACCTTTTCACTTGGTTAAGATGATTTCTGCCAGGTTTCTCCAGTGTAAAGTTATGTTGAACTTAGTAATAAGTTGGGAGCTAACTTGAGACTGTGTAAAATCCTATTCCTTATCAGACTTTTATCCACTAGATTTAACATCGACTGGTGATTCTTATCTGAATCAGTTATTACTATGATGATTGCCAAATAGTGATACTGAAATTCCACCAGATTCCTTCTGCATTTATTAGTTGGTATTCGGCTGTAGAATAGAGCTTTCCCTTATTTTCCATTCATCTATTCATTTGCTTATCTGTATCACTATGGACCATGGCACATTTTGTTTTACTTAAAGGGTTATCATCTGTTTCTTCATTATTTTAATACTTAGATTGTCCCAGACCCAGCCAGTGGGAGTCCCTTTAAGTTGGCTTCTGTGTCCTTTTGACAATTCGCCATAATTCTTCGGGCACTTCTTTACTTTGGGGTGTAACATAATGTTCCAGGCTTATCGTGTATTTTCCTTGCCCTAGTCTTGAAGTCAAGCATTTCTCCAAGGAGCTGTGACTCTTTAGTGAAGAATGGCATTTAGAACCACCATCTAGGCACTGCGTGAATGAACTCAGTGTCACTTGGTGTCTTTGCTTCTAGGTCCTCTCAGCACATAAAGCCAAGAAATATACATATGTACATACGTATATCTACATCTCTATTTATGTATAAAAAGCAAAAACAGAGGAGTTCACACTCATCCCCAATTCTAGTCCAGTACTGCCAGGTTTGTGCTAGCCTCCTTCTCCATGTGTGGAGCTCCCTTCTCTGAGGTTGACTCTGTTTATCCTCAGTGTTTTGACTTATTGTCCCTCCCAAGTCCCCCTCCCCCATCCTCCTCCCAACCCCAGGTATAATGAGACCCCTCACTGAGGCACTAATCCTGACCTCCCGAAACTCCCTGACCTGAGCGCGGGCCAGCTGCCCTCCCCCTACCCTTGCAGCAGAAAGCTCCATTCAGATGTCAGCAGTCCTGTTTAGTATCTACCTCAGAGCCCCAACATGTGCAGGTGGGGGGGATGTTGCTTTTTTGTCATGATTCTTATAGTCTAATGGGACAAGGAAAACACTGATTAAAAGAGTCACACAAATAAATGTGAAATGAAAGTGATGGTAAATGTGACGCAGGTGCCACGAGGACGCATTGAGGGTGATTGGCCTGGCCGGGGAGGTCTTTGCTCAGGAAGTGCTGCAGCACAGAAAGCAGAGCATAGGGGCCTGCAGGCCGCGTGCAAAACTGGACGTGCCGTGTGTCGGTTCCACACATGAGGGGCCTGCAGGCCACGTGCAGGCCGTGTGTCGGCTCCACATGCCCACTGGGTCTGTCTCAGACTTCACTTACATCACTTCTGCTGATTTCCTGCGCTAACTCCAGAATGTCACGTGGCGAGTCCATGGGGGCTGGATTACTGAGTAACGAGTTACTTAGTAATGAAGGACACGTGTCCCTTATTGTCACAGTGTCCCCTGGGTGCAGGGTCACAAGACCACTTCTCATCTGGAGTACTAAGGCCACTGCAGAAACCACAGAGCTGCATAAAGATTTCTTGGTCTGCCCTGCTCTTCTCATATGGAGGTGTGTAGCTGGCAAACACCACAGGGAACAGCCTCCTTGTGCCAGAGGGCTGGTCAGAGTGAGTGAGCCATGTCAGCCAGAGGCTCAGGCTGGGCTGTGGGAGAGAACAGCCTCACGCCTCATATGGCAGTGGCAGGGCCTTAAGTCACACTGAGCTATTTAGACTTCATCCTGAGGTCGCTGGGAGCCACTGGAAAGGTTCTGTTAGGTTTTTTCCTCCTAACCACTAGACCGCCAGAGATGAAGTTTTCTAAAAGATGTTTTTAAAGGTTTTTTTTTCAAGTGAAGCAGGCGGAGTAGGGAAGGATTTTTTAAATTCTTTAAAAACTGGTTGTGATTTGTTGTAAAAGATCCTTTAAGAAAGAAGTAGCATCATATTTGCATTTTAGGACGATATCTTAGCGGATGGAGAAGAGATTGGAAAAATGACAGTCACTGCCTTAACGTGAAACTCCATTGTTGCTAGAGTCACAGCTCTGTTCTGCAAGGTGGCTCCTATTTTGAGTCAACTAACTATGACTGTAAATGTTTTCTTCAAACTTGTGGAAGCTGCTCTTTAGCCTAATTGTATTCTTTTTCCCTGGCTGAGGATCCTTTTGTTTGCCAAGGTTTGTTTGTTTGTTTGTTTGTTTTTTGAGACAGAGTCTCGCTCTGTCACCCAGACTGGAGTGCAGTGGCGCGATCTCGGCTCACTGCAAGCTCTGTCTCCCGCATTCACACCATTCTCCTGCCTCTGCCTCCGGAGTAGCTGGGACTACAGGCGCCCGCCACCATGCCCAGCTAATTTTTTTGTGTTTTTTAGTAGAGATGGAGTTTCACCGTGTTAGGATGGTCTCAATCTCCTGACCTTGTGATCCGCCTACCTTGGCCTCCCAAAGTGCTGGGATTACAGGCATGAGCCACTCCGCCCAGCCTGTTTGCCGAGATTCTTAATGAATGGTTGCCGGATTTGGTTTTATATTCCCTCTGTTGTCTTTGCTCCAAGTTCCTTGCCATTTCGGTAAGCAGCACTGTAGTTGAAAAGTTATTGAATGGTCTTCACTCTCTTCAGTCTTTGGGAAGGCCCTCAGCCTCCAAAAGCAATCTGGAAATCAGTTTAGTTTTTTTCTTTTACCTTGAATTCAGGTTAATTTTATTTGATTAATTATACATCCTCTACCCTGACATGAGATAGAGTGACTCTAGAATCAACCAAGTCAGCATCTTGGTCACGTACACGTTTTGGCACAGTGAGCAAAATACTTGGTTTCTTTCAGCTTCCATCTTCTCAAAAAGCAACAGAGGGTGCAGTGCTCATGCCTGTAATCCCAGCACTTTGGGAGGCCGAGGCAGGTGGATCACCTGAAGTCAGGAGTTGGAGACCAGCCTAGCCAATATAGTGAAACCCCGTCTCTACTAAAAATAAAAAAATTAGCCGGGTGTGGCGGCGCGCGCTTGTGGTACTCGGGAGGCTAAGGCAGGAGAATCACTTGAACCCAGGATGTGGAGGTTGTAGTAAGCCACTGTGCTCCCAGCCTGCCCGACAGAGTGAGACTCCACAACAGAGCAGTAATCTTAGTTCTCACTTCCTTTCCAGATGAAGTGATAATGATTTTCATGAAGAAGAGAGCATGGCAATGCTAAGTTTTATTCATAGCAGAAGTACTTTTTTTTTTTTAATTGAGATGAAGTTTTGCTCTTGTCGCCCAGGCTGGAGTGCAGTGGCGCGATCTCAGCTCACTGCAGCCTCCGTCTTCTGGTTTCAAGTGATTCTCCTGCCTCACCTTCTCGAATAGCTGGGATTACAGGTGCGTGCCACCATGCCTGGCTAATTTTTGTATTTTTAGTAGAGATGGGGTTTCACCATGTTGGCCAGGCTGGTCTCGAACTCCATAGCAGGAGTTCTTCTAGATATCTTGCTTGTTTCTATAGTGAATGTATTGTTTCATAATATTTTATCACGTGGTGTCACTGTTTACAACAGAAAATAACAAATGTGCAAAGGTAAAACTACTTGTCAACTGAGAAAGTGGACACGGCCGGGCGCGGTGGCTCACGCCTGTAATCCCAGCACTTTGGGAGGCCGAGGTGGGCGGATCACAAGGTCAGGAGATTGAGACCTTCCTGGCTAACACCGTGAAACCCCATCTCTACTAAAAATACAAAAAGAAATTAGCTGGGCGTGGTGGCGGGTGCCTGTAGTCCCAGCTACTCGGGAGGCTGAGGCAGGAGAATGGCGTGAACCCGGGAGGCAGAGCTTGCAGTGAGCCGAGATCGCGCCACTGCACTCCAGCCTGGGCAACAGAGCAAGACTCTTGTCTCAAAAAAAAAAAAAAAAAAAAAAGAGAAATCTGAGGGTGTGACAGAATAGGTCAGACCACCACAGGATTTGATGAAAATGTATTCATTCAAATAATTTGTTAGTCAAATAAATGAAGACTAGAGATTTATGCCTAGATATTTCAGTAAGCTCTTCGTTAAATCTCATAAGAATTTTTTTGAAAATCATACCATATACTTTGAATGAATTGAAATAGTCAGAATTTGAGTTGTTTAAAGATCCAAGGGAGCCACACAGTGGCTCTCGCCTGTAATCCCAGCACTTTGGGAGGCCAAGGCAGGCGGATCGCTTGAAGTCAGGAGTTTGAGACCAGCCTGGCCAACATGGTGAAACCCCATCTCTACTAAAAATGACAAAAATAAGCCAGGCGTGGTGGCGGGCACCTGTAATCCCAGCTACTAGGGAGGCTCAGGGAGGTGAATCACTTGAACCCAGGAGGCAGGGGTTGCAGTGAGCCGAGATTTCACCACTGCACTCCAGCCTGGGTGACAGAGTAAGACAACATCTCAAAAAAAAAAGATCCAAGGGAAACAGATCAAAGTAACACTTCACTTTTATGAAGGAAATAAGTGATGGTCAGGCAGTCTTCTGGGCATAACAGAAACCCAGAATCCTTCAGCCAGATAGTCAATGTCAAGGCCAGGTGCCACGGTTCATGCCCGGAATCCTAGTACTTTGGGAGGCTGAGGTAAGAGAACTGCTTGAGACTAGCTTGGGCAACACTGCTTGAGGCCAGCCTGAGCAACATAGACCTCCATTTCTACCAAAAAGAAAAAAAAAGCCGGGCCCAGTGATGTGCACCTGTAGCCCTAGCTACCTGGGAGGCTGAGGTAGGAGGATTGCTTGAGCCCGGGAGGTCAAAGCTGCAGTGAGCTATGTTCGTTTCACTTTACTGCAGCCTGGGTGACAGAGTGAGACCATGTCTCAAAAAAAAAAGCAAAGAAATGTCAAAGTCATAGGGAGTGTAGGATTATAGAATTTATTTAATTACACAAATTTACCCTCCCAGTCAGGATGATTAGGGAGCCATTCTGTGTGTTGATTGTACTGGGCTGCACTGCAGTGGCACCGTACAATCGCATGCTGTTTCAACTGCATCACCTGTCTTATTCTGAGACGTAGACCCAAGGGACTGCTGACTCCAAAATCAGTCCCCTTTAATGGTAAAGAAATACATGGGTATTGTTTTTTAAAGCTCTAGAAATGCTTTAACTACAGGTAGCATTTTTAAAGTATATATCTGGTATTCTCAAGGTAGCTCATGCCTTGAAGCAGATGAAACTCATTTATGTAGATTATTCTGATGTTCTAAAAGAAAATCAGCCTTTGATACTTTATTTACCTTTGAAATCAACTTCTAAGTCCAGTTGTTAACAATACCTGATTCATTTATTTTATATATAAAAGGTGCTTATTTAGTAATAAGACAAATTGTCATTTATGGTTGCCTTATTAGACTATACTGCTTTTCATTATTTTAATAAACTATACAGGTAGTTCTGTGGAAGTACCCTTTTTTTAATAATGGCTATTTGTAAATCTTTCAGAACCTTCTGAGGAAAGGAGGCCATACAGAAATTGAACCTCAGCACTTCTGTCAAGCTTTCCACAGAGAGAATGATACACTAATCATCATCATCAGAAATGAAGATATATCATCACATTTGCATCAGGTCGGTTGGAAATACCTTACAAAGAAACGTATTCCAGGCACATAAGTTGTTCTGTAATGCTCAGACTCATCCCTCTTTTTTTATGTAGAAGAGAAGCTAACAGACATTACTGTTGGGCCTTTAAGTGGGAAGATGGTGTATTATAGAATACTGCAATATTACCAAGTTATTTGTAGGGCAGATGGTTAAAAAAATCATATTAACTAAGGGAGACTTAGGTGAGAGGTTGCTAAATTTTTTCATCTGAGATATAAATCTGCATCACTTGATGTCTAACAATAAGAAATCTTGCCTTAAAAGACCTTTTGGAAATTTTCTGAACCATTATATTTACCAGCTAGTTGAATCAAAGTAATTGCTTGTCTCAAGAAGACCCAACTACGGACAAAGGCTGGGTGCATAAACCTGCCGTCATCAGCAGGCAGTCGTCGGTGCTGGCACCAAGGGGAGCTGGAGACGAATGACGGCGAAGTGAGGTGACCTCACTTTTCAGTGCCCACAACCTCAGATGTGTCCTCTTCCCTCATGACGTGTTATTTCCAACCTTTGGGAGTTTGAGACCTTTTTTTAATGAACTAATTTTGTTGAGTTTGCAGCCCCTGGTGATGATGAGCTCAGTTAATATGCCTCATGCAGGGCAGAATGACCAGTCGGTAATCCAGGTTGAAATATTTTCAGTTGTTCCTGAACCTTGACTCTCTTGGATAGAAAAGCAAGGGAGTGTCTAAGAAAATGTGCCCAGTGAGCCTCTCTTCACCGGGGTCCTTTTTGTGTCATGCAGATTCCTTCTTTGCTGAAGCTGAAGCATTTCCCCAGTGTCATCTTTGCTGGAGTAGACAGCCCTGGAGATGTTCTTGATCACACCTACCAAGAACTGTTTCGTGCAGGAGGCTTTGTGATATCAGATGACAAGATACTAGAAGCTGTAACATTAGGTTGGTCTTTATTTTCTTTTCCTGTTTCTTTGAAGTCAGATCAACTTCTCACCCAGTGACCTAAATACTGTTTCATCCAAAAGAAATGATCAACTCTAAGGAATATCAGTTGCCCCCTACTGAGGCATAATTTCTGCTGTCTGCTGTGCTCTTTTCATACAGTGATTCTCTTATAGCAATGCTTTTCACCTCTTTTAACTGATTCTTACCACCACACTTGCTTCTGAGTTCCCTCCCTCTCGGTAGTGCAGCTAAGCTCCTAGTAACACAAATTCAGGATTTTATTATATTTAGTCTCTTCACTTGCCAAGTCAGAGCAGCTCCATATTAAATTGTTTGCTTAAAGTCAACCTTCTCCATTTCTGATGTCAACACCCCTACCATCTTGATGTCACAAAAATCTAAAAAATGGCTACTAAGTCAGCTTATTTAATCATCTACTTGAAAACTCATACTTTACTTCTCTCAGGGCACTTTTATGTATAAAACCTGCCCCGGCTCTGATCACATTGGAAGTGATACCACTTCTAGATCAAAAGCAGCATGTACCTTAACCAGTGTGACTTCTACACAGAACCTGGGATTTTAAATATTTGTAGGCACACGTCTGTAATCCCAACACTTTGGGAGGCCAAGGCAGGAGGATCCCTGGAGATCAGGAGTTCAAGACCAGCCTGGGCAACATAGTGAGATCCCATCTCTACAAAAAATAAAAATACTAGCCAGCTGTGGTAGTGTGTGCCTGTAGTCCCAGCTAAGGAGACTAAGGATGGAGGATTACTTGAGCCCAGGAGGTTGAGGCTATAGTGAGCTGAGATCATGCCACCACACTCCAGCCTGGGTGACAGCCGAAACCCTGTCTCAAAAAAAAAGGATTCTGTATTTAGAAACTTCATTTCTCTACTGCATCGGGGCCTCCTGCTTCTCTTCTGTCACACAATTTGTACACAGAACTCTAGTTGCTGGTGACCACTCCACTGTGTTCGTGTCTACAGAGTTATCTCCCACCATAGTGTGAGCAGGTGGGACCAGGCTGAGGGGCTTGTGAGAGCAGGATGCTGCCCAACCACATAAGTGACAGTGATGGTGTGTACTCAACCATGGGTCTTAGTCTGTTTTTTTCTTGTTTTACAAATAATTATCACTGGGCTTGGCATGAGCCAAAAGTACCTTAAACTTGTCATCTTCTTTTGCTACATTTATTGTTTTGTAGTTCAACTGAAGGAAATTATCAAAATCCTGGAAAAACTAAATGGAAATGGAAGATGGAAGTGGTTGCTTCACTACAGGGAAAATAAAAAGCTAAAAGAAGATGAAAGGTAAGGACTTGCTGTGTGTATGGTTCCTCCTGCCCTGCTGGGGTAGCAGAGAAACGCCTCATGTTCCATGGGCTCTAGCCTAGTGCTGCAGTGGAATGGCCTTCATCAGTAAAGAGCATGAGGGCTGCTGGCTCTGTATTCAATGAAGGAAGCTATGTGCTGTGACCGTAGCCAACAGTATGAGGCATGTACTTATCTAGACTAACAGAAGTAAGGGAGTCAAACTTAGCAGTCATGAAATGTCCATATTCTATTTAAGCCCTACTACTACAAACTTTAAAAAATATATGGAACTTGTACCATTAATGCTTTTTTGGATACTTATAAGTTGCCACCACTTTAAGGAGAATGGAAAAATTAAGACCATAATCTATCCTTAATTCAGTTGTACCCTAAAAGAAGAGGCTTATAAATACGCAAACTTCACTAAGTCTAAAGCTGTAATTTATAAAAGAAAAAAATACATGTTTGATTCCTTGGCTGAAGAGAGCTGGGGCTGAGAGATTCCTCCACATTCTCACAAGCAGGACCAATTGGAAAAGCAGACCTGACAAGCCCTTGTGAAATAAGGATTTCAGGCACTGTTAGGTGCATCCATTTTCATTCAGACTTCATCCCCAGGAGCTAGATAGCAAATCCTCACTTTTATAATGCAGAACTGAAGCAGAGTAGATAACAAACATGACCAAGGTCAAACAAGTAGTAAGTTATGAAGCTGGGTTTCAATCCCAGAAAGACGAAACGACTGTTAGCTGTATGTGACCTTTGAGGAACAGAATCTCAGAAAGCTTTTCTCTTGAAGTGGAGCTAGCAAAGGAGAGAAGGAGCACAGAGGTTTCCTTGGCAGGAAAGGAGGGTGCAAAGGCTTCAGCAGGTCAAGGGTATGACCATTCACAGCGGACTTCAGTAACCAGCACTTGAGGGGAAAAACGTCAACTTCGGTAAGTAGAGAAGCACATTTAAGGTTCTGATGTACCACAGCACACCTATAAAATAAGCATAAATCAATCTAGCACTTCTAGGGCTTTGGGTAGAGAAAGTCATGTCACTTAACGACGGGGATACAGCCTGAGAAACGTCATAAGACGATTTTGTCTATGTGCAGACATAGAGTGTACTTACACAAACTGATATGGTAGAGCCTACTCCTAGATTGCAAACCTGTACATGTGACTGTACTGAATACTGTAGGCAGATTTAATGCAATGGTGGTATCTGTGTGTCTAAACACAAAAAAGGTTCAGTAAATTACAGTAGTATAATTTTATGGGACCACCATTGTATATGTGGTCCGTCATTGACTGAAACATCATTATGTGGTACATGCCCGTACTCACTGCTGTTGGCGCTGCAGTATGCTCTTCATATTATACCACTCTGGCATTATGTAACAGGCGTTATGTATTATTGAGAACTCATTAGAAAACTCTTCATATCCTTTGACCTTTTGTGGAATTTACCCAAAATTCTAGGTGGTTATCAGTCATTGCAAAACCAACCTCAGTTCCATCTCTAGGAGGGAGATATGCAGACTACAGTTAAATATTTTAAAGTTTATACAAAATAATGCCCACCCAAAACTTACACAATAGAAGCATGTAAAAAGTTTCTATTCATAGAAAGAGGGATGGCATAAAAGTTGGTATCATGTAACTATGTTCAGTATGATGTCATAAAAAATTTATACAGGAAAAAGTGAAAGGAAATTAATTCATGATGTTAAGAGTGATTATCACTAGGGTTATGGGAATGGGTGTGATTTGGGTTTTCTCCAACAAGCATGAGAATGTAAGTGATGAAAACTAGAGAGACGGGAGTCGAGCAGAGACAGAAATGCTAAAAATTTAAACATACTGAGTTAACACATTTTCCTAGTAGTGATAGAATTTTCAGGGAAGCAAGAAACCAAGAAAATTCTGGCTGCTACCTAATTTTAATGAAGTTGGCGATTATCTGCCCACAAGGTATGAGAAGTATAGATGTGCATTGCTCTACAAATATACAACGCAATAAGGCCCACTCGAAATTCATGAAAGGCTTGCCAAGCCACATGGCTTGATTGGTCGTAGGTAGATGCATGATGTCCCTCTTAGAATGAGGCCCATGTTTAAAATCCACATTTACAAAAGGAGTAGGTACAATTGTGATGTTTTGAGGTAACCAAAGTGTGTCATGAAAAAGAACGTCAAGAAGAAAGGCAGAGGAACTCATGAGTTTGAATGGTTAAACTGAAGGCAAGAAAAAGTCCTAAGAATAAAACTGAAAAATATTTTAATATGCCTATGTATCTTTCACAGAGTGGATTCAACTGCACATAAGAAGAACATAATGTTGAAGTCATTTCAGAGTGCAAATATCATTGAATTGCTTCATTATCACCAGTGTGACTCTCGATCATCAACAAAAGCAGAAATTCTGAAATGTTTGCTAAACCTGCAAATTCAGCATATTGATGCCAGGTTTGCTGTCCTCCTAACAGGTAATTCACAGGCGCATTTTACTCAGTTAATGCCAAAATTGGTCAGCTCTAGGAATGTCAAAGTTAGATACCTGATGAAGAGTATCAGGTATCTAAATGGCTTGGCATCCCATGGATACCAGAATCACCCAAATCTGCTGAAGCTGAAGCCCTTATATAAAATGTAGTATTTGCAGGTAACTACACAATCCTCCTATGTATGTAAGTCAGTTCTAGATTACTTATAATACTCAATACAGTATAAGTAGTTATACCGTATTATTTTTTAAATCAATACTGGGGCTGGGTGCAGTGGCTCACACCTGTAATCCCAGCACTTTGGGAGGCCGAGGCGGGCGGATCACTTGAGGTCAGGAGTTAGAGACCAGCCTAGCCAACATGGTGAAACCCCATCTCTACTAAAAATACAAAAATTAGTCAGGTGTGGTGGTTCATGCCAGTAGTCCCAGCTACTTGGGAGGCCGAGGCAGGAGAATGGCTTGAACCCCGGAGGCAGAGGTTGCTTTTAAAAAATTTGTGGGGCAGCCAGGGACAGTGGCTCACGCCTGTAATGCCAGCACTTTGGGAGGCTGAAGCAGGTGGATCACTGAGCCCAGGAATTTGAGGCCAGCCTGGGCAACTTAGCGAGACCTCATCTCTACAGAAGTTGGCAGGTGTGGTGATGTGTGCCTATAGTCCTAGCTACTTGGGTTAAGGCAGAAGGATTGCTCGAGGCTGCAGTGAGCCGTCATCACACCACTGCACTGTAACCTGGGTGGCAGAACAAGACCCTATCTATCTTTAAAAAAAAAAAAAAAAAAGTGTTAAGAAAAATTTACGTAAAGAACCATAGTTATCATTTTTCAGGGATTTTTTTTCAGTACTTTAACCACCACCCCCGATGGAGGCATCTATTTCCAAAGCTTCAAATCTTTTCTTAATTTGGAACCCAACACCTTTTCTCCCCCTACCCCTCACACGAGGAAGTTCCACAGATTTTTTAAAATAAAAAACCAGGTCCTGTTATATAAAAGTACATTAATTATATTAACCAAAAGTTGTTTTTTTTTTTTTTTAACAGACAAGCCTACTATCCCCAGAGAAGTCTTTGAAAATAGTGGAATCCTTGTTACAGATGTAAATAACTTTATAGAAAACATAGAAAAAATAGCAGCTCCATTTAGGAGTAGCTATTGGTAAGAACACTTTTTATGTAACTTTCCCATGTGAGTTGGAGTTGTTGATGGCAAATATTGACATTTGTGTCTAAGGGAAACAGTTGGGAAACTGTTGTTTACATACTTCATGCTATAAATTTAAAGTGTTTGTTTAGGGGTGGAATTGCTATTTGGCATAAATAGGAATTCCTAAATTATCACTAAATGAAGTAACCATCTACTAAAATTACCTATTTTATCTAATGTGCATTTTCACTTGCTGTTAACTTGGATCGTCAGTACAGAACATAATGTAACCTTAGAATGCATAGGCGTTTTCCCCATTAGAGCATCCCGCTTATAAAATATTTCTTGTTCGTATTATTTTAAGAAGTTCTTTATCAATTTTGTGTTTCTTCAGGTGACTCAACTACAGCCTGCCTGGATATGGATGATGCCAATAAAAAATTAGTATTTTCCCTTTGGAAAACTTGTGAACATGTGAATACACATGTGAACAGTCTTACATTTGAAAAACCAATGTTCTACAACTTGGAAAGTTTTCATTTTTTATATTTTGCTGAAATATGTCACAGTGGCATTGCAGTTGTCTGTTAGCTTTGGGTTGCAGTGCTAGATATTGTTTTAAATTATTTTCATTTTAAACAAGATGCCTTCTAAGCTATTGAGCTTATTAAAAATAATTTTACATGTTTACTTAGTTGGAGCAAAAATAAGTCTATTTTAACAAATAGCTTTGTTTTTGCATGCTAATGTCAGAAAGGCATACGATGCACATTATGCTCTGTTTTAAAGGTTTTACCACCCTTGTAAAAACTATAATCTTAAATGGTTTTATTTGCTGTTACACAAACAACACTACATAAAACATTTTTTCCTAAATGGTACAAATTTATAAACTATCATTTTTCACTTACGGTATTTGTAAATACTACACTACAAAAATCAGCTTTCTGAGAAAGAAATAATCATTTATTTATGATATTGAAAATTTCTACAGTAAACACTCAAAACCAAGCAAAAAACATTTGTAAGATACACGGTATCTATTTGGAGCAACGGTTTTTGTAACTAATGTGTTTCATTTTTTAAATAAAGACAACTAAAAATAATCTCTTTCTGCAATGATTTTTATAGCAGAAATTGACTTATCTGGAGTGTTCTAGCAATTTTTAGGTCATTTAGCAGAACAGTAAGCTTCCAGAGGAAACCTACACTTCTATCCTTTGGGCCTGGCCTGTTCTGTTTCTGGGTTCTTTCCGCAGTCAAGTACACCGAGTAACAGGTTAAAGAATGGCAGTTTCACCTGGCCTTTACAGGGACACTTACTTCTTTCAGAAGTCATTAAGTCGGCTTTTATTATTCCTAAACAAAAGAGCTTTATTTTCTCATGAGTAGGTTTTAGAGTTTTAATTGTTGACAATTTTTCAGTTACTAATAGAACCCCAGTCATTTCATTTTATTTTTCCAAGGACAAGAGTCTATTAAGGGAACCATTAACTATTCAGTACAGTGAATTACTTTCAGATTACTAAGGAAAAGGAAAGTGAGCAGTTATAAGATGCCAAACACCTATCTATCTGCCTGAAATATGCACCTTTCAGGTTGGACCTAATAACATTCACCTCCCCTTGCTGAAAAGCCTTCCAACACCCACGAGGCCATCTCAGTTTCCATGCTACCTTTTCTGTAACTCTACTAATAACCAAACCACATCATGTGTTCACCAAACTGAGTTATCCCAGTAACTACCATTATCATCTTTGTCTCCACTGGCCTGGCACACAAGGTATTCAGTAAATACGTTGAATGAAGAATATGAAGATGCGTGGTTTTTCTTTTTTCACTTATTACTAACCCAGCTTGGGCCTTTGCATGGGAAGAGAAAAAGGCTTGCTGGGACTTCAGATAATTTTATCATACAGGTAAAGCAGTGGTTCTCAACATCTGGAGACATTTTTGGTTGTCATTCCAAGATGGTGCTGTTGCCATCTAGTGTGTGGAGGCCAGGGATGCTGCTACAATCAACCCTATCAACAGAGAATGATCCAGCCCAAAACATCAACTGAAGTCGAGAAGCTCCATCATTTTGGCAATATGAATAACAATCTAAATCACCACCCTAGTTCCTTTAACACATCATCTACCTTAGTCTGTCTCCTTCATACTCTGAAGAGTCAGTGTTTATCTGTGGTAAACAACAGCATCTGCCGTGAGGCTCATCACTGTCAGGGGAAAGGGCCTTATATGTAAACACTTTATCATTTCAACTACACAAAAATTATTTACTAAAGCACCTACTCTACCTGACAGTTCACTTACTCCCTTATAACTGCTGCTACAAGCAAAATCATTAAACACTATTTTTTCTGCACAAAGATGATAGGTCTAGTAATGGTACTGTGTCAAGAATAAAACTCGAGGTCTACTCACAGGGAAGCCAGACGACAGGACCTGCTGTGATCCTTCCAGATCAGAAGACACCCACGCTTTCCGCTGCTGAGCATTCTGACTGGCATTGACTCCAGTGCTACCAAAGGAAGCACGGCAGCTGTGACCCTTGCAATCAGGACACACAAACCAACACCGGGCAGTAGTTTCCAGAATTTGGCTTTATTTTGCAGTACAGAAATCATTTGGAGCCATTTTGAGACAGAAGTAGAGGCTCTGTCAAGTCAATACTGCATTGCAGCTTGGTCCACTGAAGAAGCCACGCCTGAGATACAAAAGATGCACTACACTTGACCCGCTTTATGTTCGCTTCCTCTCCCCTTCTCTCTCATCAACTTTATTAGGTTAAAACACCACATACAGGCTTTCTCCAAATGACTCCCTATGTCTGGGGTTTGGTTAGAATTTTATGCCCACATAAACCAAACTTGTGGCTATGCTATTTGGGCCCTGCCATAACATTTGACATAATACAAAATATAAAGTCATAGGGAAAACTTCCGGATGCTGTCCCAAACCGTGGAATATTCAATTTAGAATCTCCTGAACCTCAAGAGGACAGATGACACACAACCTGTATGGATCCAGCTCTTGAGCAGCAGCAGCACATAGCTACACTGATTAAAAGATTAAAAAAACTGTCTCAAGTTGTCTGTGTCGGTATCCCAATGTTTGTTTAACTTCACTAGAAAAAAAAAAAGCCAGTTTGGTTAAATTGAACAGAATGTGGTAACTGCCAATGCTGAATAGCCACTCCATGAAAACAAGTTAATAATTAGAAAGGTGAAGGGGAGTATTTACTGGCACAGCGCTCTTCATTCTCTCCATTTTCATTACAAAAGCAGGCCTTACAATATTGATTTCATTATATGCATTATTTGCCAAATTTTAAATGTGTCCTAATTACATAATAACATGTACTGCTGTTAGTCTTCCCCATAGATGTCATTCTTCTTGCGCTTCATTTCCTCAAAGTCAAACTCTGATCCTGTCATCCTCTTATAGATGTTTTTAATGTCATCACACGTTGTCTCAAAATGAGTGGTGGCATCATATGTGCGGGAAATAAAGATCTGAAAACAAAAATTACGAAGACTTAAGACCATGGAGGGATGTCTTCCAGTGAAACCTGCCCATATCCTTTCACACTTCCATACTCACCTGGCTTTCTGTTCCCAAGTCTTTTGGTACCAGGAGGTCACTGATGCTAACAAATCTGGAGGGAGAGAGAATTCAGTCAGGTGAGCTGGTCCCACACCTGACCATGGCTCTGCCTGAGGTCAACTGAGAGGTACAGATGAATCCCACAGAGCAGCCAGCAGCTACCTGCCTTGCCCTCACATTCGTCCCACCATGGAGCCACAATCAAAGGCCTCAGTTTGCATCTCGGCAGATATAAAAGAACACAACTCACTTCTGTTCAATTGGTTCCAAGAGCTCCAAAGCTGGTCTGATTTCCTTCTCAGGCTCCTTGGTTTCCACAGTTGTACTAACTATAGCAATGTACTTCCCTTGTGCTGCTACATTGTGCGCAAAGGAGATCATGCAGACGTAGATATCTAGAAACAAATGATACCAGCTCACTGCCTCAAGTGTCTCCATCTGGGACCCAACATACTCAGGTATCACCCATATGTCATGAGGTGTGAGTTAAAATTACTCTCAATAGGCAAGATCTTCTACACTTAAGTTCTAAATGGTGACAGAGTTGGATGTAAAGTACACAGATATTTAACAATAGGAATTTCTTTTAACCTACTAGAGATTAAGAATTGAAGTGGTAGCGAACTGCTGAAGTTTGGAATGAGATCTCTTAACAGCTCTGTCATACCTAACTAAAAAACCTGCCAAACCATATTAACTATTCTGGGAGATTCTTCCATTCTGGACCTTGCATTTAGAAAGGTTCTGAATGGCTAAGAAAGGATGTACTTAGTACTGACGTCCTCATTTACTTATTACAGTAATGTAAAACTGCAGAATCCACATAAACCACTTTTGAGTTGGCATAACGATAGAATTCTCGATTAGACTTGGTCTGTATACCACTCATCCAGTTAACTGTGTCATTTCCAGGATAGAAAATCATTTGGATAGGAGAGCATTTAAAGGCCAAAAAAAAAAAACTCTGGGACCTCCTTTATTCTTTTCAGACTTGCAAGGACCCAGGACCCGCCTGGGAACCTTGTGGAAGATTAAGTCCAGTCCCTTTGTTCTACAGATCATCTTTTGTGATTGGTTTTTTTTTGTGTTTTAACAGTCTGGCTCTGTCACCCAGGTTGGAGACAGGGATGCAATCACAGCTTACAGTAACCTCAAACTCCTGAGCTCAAGTGATCCTCTCCCACCGCAGCCTCCCAAGTAGCTAGGACTACAGGTGTGTGCCACCACACCTAGCCATTTTTGTTTGTTTGTTTTTTGTTTTTGTAGAGACGAGCTCTCACTATGTTACCCAGGCTGGTCTTGAACCCCTGGCCTCAAGCAAGCCTCCTGCCT